>NC_000010.11:16525151-16676666 GCF_000001405.40 Homo sapiens
TACAAAAAAAAATTGGGACTAGATCTGCTATTTATCTTTAATTTTGCGGTCTCCAAATTTCATTTCAGAACATATACTCCTTTGACTGAAGAACTGTACATTTCTAACCAGAAAGAGTCTGCCTGGAGTTATGTAGGGAAGCCGTATATTCTTATGGCTTTGGAATCAGATGGGTCTTAATTTGAATACTAGCTTCCTCATTTAGGAGCTGTGAAAGTTTCTTAATCTCCCAGAGGCTCAATTTCCATTTCTGTAAAGTGGAAATAACACTAATACCTAAATTATAGGGTTGTTGTGAAGAGTAAGTGAGTTAATGCATATAATTACAATGGTACCCAATTTATAATAAGAGCCTAATAACTGCCAACTATCAACTTAGTATATTGTAGGACTAATGAGTAGTGTATGCCTATGAATTGAATGGAAGAATGCAAGGCTTAGTAAAGGAAGCTGAAACCAAAGGGCCTGACTTAAGACAAATGGCATAAAATGAACGGTAAGTATGTTAGACTTAGATAAAACTGAGGGGAACACCAAAATTCTCCAGGAGAGTTGCCAAGGTGTACTCTCCTGTAATATCAAGCAAAACAAAACTCAAAACTCAAAACAAGGATCACATGACTCTTCTCCAAAGTAAGAAGACAAAGTTTTATATCAAGGTCATTTGAATTCATTGTGCTTTGATAGCCCAAGTTTTCAGATGTAAGACCTAGTAGGATGTATTAACACATGCTTTTTGTCCTCTAGGAATTCCGCAAGTCAACAAGTTGCAAATGTACTTAAAAATTATTGAGGTCGATATTCAGGAACTGTTTCTGTGGATAACAATTCTCAAAAAAGCAAACATGCCAGAGAGGGCTGCTTTGTTTTGTTGTTTGTTTGTTGTTTTGGGAGTTGGTTTTTTTTTGTTTTTTTTTTTTTTTTTGAGACAGGGTCCCACTCCATCACTCAGGATGGAGTGCAGTAGCATGATCTCGGCTCACTGCAACCTCTGCCTCCCAGGTTCAAGGGATTCTCATGCCTCAGTCTCCTAAATAGCTGGGATTACAGGCATGCACCCCATACCAGCTAATTTTTGTATATATATATAAATTTTTTTTTAAGTAGAGACAGGGTTTCACAATGTTGCCCAGTCTGGTCTCGAACTCCTGGCCTCAAATTATCCAACTGCCTTGGCCTCCCTAAGTGTTGGGATTACAAGAGTGAGCCACTGAGCCCGGCCCCACTTTGTACATGAACCAGAAGAGCAGTCACTCTGAAAGACACCTAAGTCATAGCCACATCTCTAGGGAATTTTCAACACGAAACTCTCTATAGAAGGCAAGTTGGAAAGCTAGCTTGGCAGGTGTATTGTCAAAAATTATTGAACCGCTAAATGGAGATGGTTACCAGCACATTACAGAAGACTCAATGTACAACGTATGGCTTCATGTTGGTCCAAAATTCTAACTATATCAGTCAAGAAAAGGATGAAATCTCAAGTATGGATGTGACACTTTATACCTGCCATACATAGAATGTTCAATCCGTATGACCTTACTTGATGTAGAATTAAAGGAAAAGTTACCAAGAATGAGATCTGAGAGCTTAGCAAGTCCTCCTAAGCTATAGCCATGATAACTCATCATACAAGGAAAATAAGTGAATTCAAAGAACCAAAAGCAGCTGCCATTAGATTACAGGGAACTTTCAAACAAAAGATATATCATAGGAAGTCAGGTGAGAAGCTGTCAACTGGGCAGGCAGTGATGAGAATCGTAGTTGTCTTACTGTACTTTTTTGTTTTGTTCAAAAAACCTAAAGCATCACGCATTTTGAAAGCAGAGTTTGCAGAGAGCCCCCAACAGAGCCAGAACTTGCCAAGAGCGACTGATATTTCTAGAATCTGGCTCTTAAAATAATAAGGCTGGAGGAGACATGAACACCATGGGAAAGTGTATTCAGCCCCACTCCTATGTGAATGTAGCTTCAGAGCAAGTTACCTTCAACGAGGAGCAGCACATCCTGTAAACAGATACCGTGTCTCTTGGGTACTTACGTGCAAATAGACATATCAGCTTTTCCCTAATGCAGGCAGTCTCTTGGGGATAGTTTTGTAACATGTAAAAATAGATATAATTTGAAACCATAGTCCTAAAAGTAAGGTATTTTAGTTGCAGGAGGAGAAGAGAGAAGACAAAAGTAACCTATTGCAAGTGGCTGTACGTTCCATAGAAGTAGTTGTATACCTCAGTGTTTCCCACTGAAAGTAGCTGTAACAATTCATGCTTTAATTCATTAATCGATAATTTAATCTCTGGCTCTGGAAAGTGGAAAAAGTCTGTGAAAGCTGGTCCTACTTAAATGGAGATTTGGAGTTTTCGTTTGTCCCGGATTAGTCAAGATACAAGTAGAAATCCTTACACCTGCCAATACCCACAAAGGCATCTATGTTTTCACACAGGCCCCTCTAATTACATATCAGCAGTTAAGAGGTTTCTCCCCTTTCTAGCCACTTCTAAGATGCTAATGATCCTGGGAGTTTTAGCCTTTTGTTGCCTGCTGCTGCGGTGTTTGAACCATTCCAGTAAGCCAGCAACTTTGCAGGGACAAGGACAGAGGTAAGATTTGTTTCTTTGGCTGGTTGGTTTTTGTTTTGTTATCAATGGGTGAAAAAAAGTTAAAACTATCGATTAAATTTAGGGATTACCTGAACATGTCTATTATCCAATAGGATATCCATTATCCATTATGTATTTACATTTGTGTGTATGCCTTCCATTATACATACGTATATTATTTCTTTTACATTTACTCTTAAGAATTTGTTTTTGTAGGTGGGCAGAGGGTCTCAATGGCTACATAATGAGGGTCAGACATTGAGTACCCATGATGGTTTCTTTTTGTCCAAAGCTCCAGTACATAGGAACATTGTTCTGTCATGAAACAGACAACCGACTGGCCCTCTGCCCATGTTCCCCGGGAATGAGGGTGCATTCAGCCTCAGTGGCAGTTTTGTAAAAGTTCTTGAACACAAAAGAGAAAAGAAATTAGGAGCGAATTAAAAGGGATTTTAGGAGAAGTGTCCTCAGCAAAAATGCACTGGGCCAAGCACAGTGGCTCATGGTTGTAATCCCGGCACTTTGGGAGGCCAAGGCAGGAGGGTTACTTGAGTCCAGGAGTTTGAGACCAGCCTGAGCAACATAGGGAGACTTCATCTCTATGAAAAATAAAATAAAAAATTAGCCAGGCTTGGTGCTGTGATGGTGTCACTGCACTCCAGCTTGGGCAACAAACTGAGACCCTCTTTGTCTCAAAAATAAAACATTTTTTTAAAACATCATGCACTAAATCTAAACTACACAATCAAGCTTTCCTTCAGAAATTCTGAAAGAGCCAGAAGGCCCTAATCCAATGTTTTAATCTGATGTTTGACTGCACTGGTTAGAATGAATTCTCTGGGTATATCCATTCTATTATCTTCTCATTAATGTGTAATGTTTAATTCAATTTAATTTAAAACATGCAAGAAAAGAAGTGGACTTTGCTGTCTATTTCCCTTCCTCCAGCCTTTCCCATCTCCAAACTGTGTCACACAGGGCATCAGTGGTCATCTTCCTGTATCAACTGCTCACAGCCTGTGCCCACTCAGCTCAGAAACAATGATATCCTTCCTTGTTGTCCACATTGTCAGAAAGTCTAACTCCCTGGTGCCAGGCCCTGCACCATGGGCGCAAAGCTTCTCTAAATTCCCAGGTTTCATTTTCATAACTGGCCCTCTCTTCTACTCCATTGTTCAGTTATCGGGTATTTACACCTTAAATCACCTTGTCATTTCTCATTTTGCCTTCCCCTTAACTCTTTCAACCCACCTCCTCCCTCTCTCTCTCTCTTTTTTTTTTTTTTTTAAAGACAGTGTCTCATTTTGCAGTCCAGGCTGGAATGCAGTGGCGTGATCATGGCTCACTGCAGCCTCCAGCATCCAGGTTCAAGCAGTCCTCCCATCTCAGCCTCCCAAGTCGCTGGAACCACAGGTACTTGCCACCTCACCAGGCATTTTCTTTTTTTCTTTTTTTGTTTTTTTGTCGAGATGAGGTCTCACTATGTTACCCAGGCTGGTCTCAAGCTCCCGGCCTCAAGCAATACTCCCACCTCCACCTCCCAAAATGCCACAATTACAGACGTCAGCTACCACGCCCAGATCTCACTCCTCCTGATCTTATCACTTTTTCAAGACCCTGCTGCAAAGTCACCTCCTTCCCCTATCTCTCCACCCTGAGCCCCCAAGCTGCCAACCACTGGATCTTTCTTCCCTATGCTCCCAAGCACGTTGAATGTCTCCTCCTGAAAACACTTACCTCATTCTCCTTTTGCCATATACCCTCATCCTTTTTCCTGTTACTGAGAGAAATACAAAGTCTCTTAATCTCTGGTCTCCAACCCCACCCTCACTCCCACACCCAGGCACCAAGGACACATTTACTAGGGCTAAATACATGTTTGTTTATTTGAATGGCTGAATTGGGAACAAATAGCCCAGCTTGCAAAATATTCTATAAACTTAAGAAACCTAGATGTAGTGAACAAGCCTGGACTGAAAATTAGGCATTTCTATGACCCACTTTCCCTAAAGGACTGGACACTCTTTCAACTCTGCCAGAGAGGTTAGATTAAGAGCCAGCTTAGTGTCAATTCTTTACAAAAGAAGTAAAGATAAGAACAGAGAGATAACTTGCACAAGAGTTGGAGTTTAAAATGTATTAGGGCCTTGGATGTCAGACCTTATATGTGATGCGAAGGGTTGCTTGCAGACCCGCTGACATTTGGAACTGGTTCTAATAGTTTAAATACATGATTAGATTTGTTTAACTATTGTGGTTTCTAAATGTCTCACACCATGTGTGTGGTGGAAGCAGAAATTGCACTGTGGTCACTGGAAGAGAACATGACTTTCTCACAGATTTCTGCCCAAGATGGTGGCCGTATGAACCACCTAAATTATGTACCTCAGTGGATATTCTATGAGGTTCTTCACCTCATCTCTTTAAGGTTTGTGGACAAGTATTTTGTCTATACCCTAGACATACAAAATAGTTTTTTTTTTAATAAAAATAAGAGACTACAGTTATGTGGCTGAAAGAAGGGCCATGGAAAAGAAAGAATTGTACCAGAAGTGCTATGTCAAGGATGATAGCTGCTATATAAGAAATAAAAATACTTTCTGAGTTTCCCAATAGCCAAGGCAAAAAGGGAAACACTACAAGTTACCCTTATCTTATGATTTTTTAAAATAAACATTCCAGTTTTTCATGAGACAGGAGATTTTTTCCTATCTCAGAATTCTGGGAAGAATTTATCAAGTAAGGGATATAAAATAATATCATGGATACTAATTAAAGGTGGCTTTATAGAAAATAAAGAAATTACAGACGTCAGCTACAATTACAGACATCAGCTACCACGCTCGGCTCTCACTCCTCCTGATCTTATCACTCTTTCAAGACCCTGCTGCAAAGTCACCTCCTTCCCCTATCCCTCCACCCTGAGCCCTGAACTGCCAACCACTGGATCTTTCTTCCCTGTGCTCCCAAGCACGTTGAATGTCTCCTCCTGAAAACACTTACCTCATTCTGCTTTTGCTCATTGTTTCTCAATGAGGAACTAAAGCAGTTCAAGTCTTACCCAGTTCACCATTTCCTAGAACACCTTGAAATTCATTCAAAGAAAGCTGACATGTTGAATAAGAGGCAAATACTACCCCAAGAAAATGCACAATTAGCAAGAACAGAATGGATGGGATAGATTGAAGAGCAGAGACTGAACTTTTCACCAGAAGGAGTGACAACTCGTTTTCAAATAAAAAGCAAAAGTGCAGTAAATGCTATCACTGGAGTGATGAGACTCAGCTAGAACGAATGCAAATAAATTCCACATTTCTGTTTCTTTTCAGTAAGTAATTTGAAAAGATCAGTCAAATGTGTGTGACTAGCTGCAGAAAAAAAAAATTAAACAATTTGGCAGATTTGTTCCCAAGTCATGCCTACAATATTTTGACCCATGAATTACTACAGATATAAAAATGTTACTACTTGTATTATAAAAACACAACCTTGAGCAAATAGGAAGTTAACGAAATCACACTGAAATCTTCAATTTTGAAAACAGAAAATGATTGTCAACACTATTTGATAATGATATTCATCACTGCTGGGAACTACTGTAATAAAAAATTAACAATTGTATGCACCCTCTTTGAATATGCAAGCACTGATCTACTTACTGCAAATATAAAAGCCATTTCCCCCTCACATTTAATTTGTAACTTATAATTAGAAAATTTATTTCAACCCCAGGAACTCCTTAATTTGCCCTATAGTAAGTCATTGCATAATTACTCAAAGTCTCAAAAATACAGACAAGGATATGCAAGGTAAAGGCATCACGGTATTCTTGAGACAGCCAATGAATTTTCTGAAGATTTTTGAGCATTCAGTATAGTAAGAATTTTAATGATCTTCAGCTCCTCTTAGATCTAGACACAAATATGGAAATGTATATTGTGCAATGCAAATGAACTGGAAATGGGTTTAGTGGAAGGTACTGCCATCCCTGGGATGGTTGCATTAATACCCAGAACCAAAAACTGCTCAAAAGGTAACACTCTTCCATCAGCAAAAGAGAACAGGCAAACTGCTCTAACAAAATAATAAACTATGTGTCCAAACAGGGGAAGTAAATACTTTTACATAACACAAAAGAGAATGGAGCTAGGGAGAAAAAAATGCAGGAACGTGCCAGGCATGGTGGCTTACACCTGTAATCCCAGCACTTTGGGAGATCGAGGCAAGAGGATAGCGTGAGTCCAGGAGTTCGAGACCAGCCTGGACAACACAGTGAGACTCTGTCTCTACAGAATTTTTTTTTTTTTTAATTAGCCAGGCATAGTGGCATGTGACTGTAGTCCCAGCTACCTGGGAGGCTGACGTGGGAGGATTGCGTGAGTTTGGGAGGTTGAGGGTGCAAAGAGCCATGATTGTGCAACTGTACTCCATCCTGAGTGACAGACCAGCCCGTCTCAAAAAAAGAAAATACAAGAATAAATATGGGTACTTTCCATTAGTAAAGGAGAATCTAAATGAGGGAGAAAAATGATTTGGCTGCTGTATTTGAGGGCTTTACAGACAAGCTTTCTCAGAATAACTCAAGTTTCAAACATGGCAGCATATTCAAGTTCAGTGTTTGAATCCCGTCATGGTCATGGAAAGATGTTGAAGCACTGTGAGTGTATCGAAAAATTGGAGCCTCTTCGAAACAACGGTTACACTATTTTTCAGTGCAATTAAAAATAATGAGTAGGGAGGCCAGGTGCGCTGGCTCACGCCTGTAACTCCAGCACTTTGGGAGGCCGAGGCGAGTGGATCACCTGAGGCCAGGAGTTTGAGACCAACCTGGCCAACATGGCAAAACCCCGTCTCTACTAAAAATACAAAAAATTAGCCAGGCATGGTGGCACACGCCTGTTATCCCAGCACTTTGGGAGGCCAAGGTGGGCAGATCACTTGAGCTCAAGAGTTCGAGACCAGCCTGGCCAACATGGTGAAATCCAATCTCTACTAAAAATACAAATTAGCTGGGCATGGTGGCATGCACCTGTAGTCCCAGCTACTCAGGAGACTGAGGCAGGAGAATCACTTGAAGCCAGGAGGCAGAGGTTGCAGTAAGCTGAGATTGCACCACTGCACTCCAGCCTGGATGACAGCAGGAGCCTCTGTCTCAAAAAAGAAAAAAAAAAAAAGAAGAAGAAAGGAAAGAAAGAAGAAAGAGAGAAAGAAATAAAGCAAATAGCCAGAAGGGAGGCATGAGAGGAAATGTGAAAGTCTGCCATGCTGTTGTGTGCCAGTTTCTTCCACCAACTCAAAATCTACTGTCATCTTTAATGAGCGCCCTGGTGGCATGATAAACCACGGTCCTTTTTACTCATCAGAAACTTGATGGATGTGTGCTCTGAGTGGAGGGCTGGGAGTGGGCAACTCCAAATTAAAATCTCCACTGTTTCGTTAGCCAGGAGATTCATTTTGGCTGTCATCTTCTTTATATACTCCTCCCTTTGTTTCCTGATTATTAAATTTGGAATCATTCGTAATTTAATTTTTTAACCACAAATGCAATCATTTTAATTATTCATGTGTAATTTTTTTTTTTTTTTGACAGAGTCTTGCTCTGTCACAAGGCCAGAGTGCAGTGGCACGATCTCCGCTCACTGCAACCTCCGCCTCCCCAGTTGAGGTGATTCTCCTGCCTCAGCCTCCTGAGTAGCTGGGACTACAGGCACCCGCCACCACACCCAGCTGATTTTTGTATTTTTTAGTAGAGACGCAGTTTCACCATGTTGGCCAGGATGGTCTCGATCTCCTGACCTCATGATCCACCCACCTCGGCCTCCCAAAGTGCTGGGATGACAGGCGTGAGCCACCGTGCCTGCCCTCACATGTGTAATATTTTTAAATTTAAAGTAGGAGAGAGTTTAATCTAAACTGAGTTCTCTGAAATGAACTGGCTTCTTTGTGTTAGATAGCCTGTTTTAAGGGGACTCGAAGTCTTTGGGAGGAATTTTGCTGCAATCCTAGAGTCCAAGGTAGTGGGATGATTGAGGCGTGTCTTCATGGACTTAAATAAAATGTACACGATTGGAATTGGAAAAATCTTTTTGGATGAACTATTCATGAAAGTGAAAAATGATAGGATTTTTCTCAGTAACAAAAAATTTGGGGCTATAGGAGGATAATATAAACACCATCGCTGATTCTGACAATAAGATCTTGTTCAAGTAAACAGGATTCTTGGAAAGGAGGGCCTCAGATTCGAGGGCTGTTTGTTTTGTTTCGTTTTTCATAATGATGAAGCAGCAAAATCATAAAAATATTTCTTAAGGCTGTTAAAGAAAGAAGCAGCAAAGAAGCCAGCCTCCTTTCAGTTCTCAAATTATTCAGTTTTGGATAGAAAAAGTCTGTATTCAGGGGTTGGATATATTTGCAACAAAACATATCTTCTTCCCTTTTATATGTCCCAGAACATCTATACCAGCACCTGTGCACCAAGTAAGGCCACAATAATTGTTTTTTTCCAAATGAGTAAAAAGAAATAGCATGTTTGTGTAAAGCTAAGATCAAAGCATTTGCAGTTCTTATGGTACAATGGAGGGTTCTGGATCAGCCGCTAAAGGGACACCTTCATCCAGTACCCTGGATCCTTATGGAGGTTGTGGTCCCACTCAGAGTGACTCCTCGTTCTCCAGGATCATTGGGAAGACACTGGGATGGGCGACCGGTA
Source organism: Homo sapiens (assembly GCF_000001405.40). Taxonomy (NCBI): domain Eukaryota; kingdom Metazoa; phylum Chordata; class Mammalia; order Primates; family Hominidae; genus Homo; species Homo sapiens. The sequence continues at coordinate 16,534,461 of NC_000010.11, forward strand.
GCCATGCTGTCCTCTGTCCTTGAGGACCCAGTTGCCACATTTTCACCAGCCACATTTGACCAAGTGAACCCTTGTCCCAACATGGGCCGATCAGATTCTCTTTCCTGATTTTTGAGACTTGGAACAAAAAGACATGCAAACTTAGCCAGGTGCAGTGGCTCACGCCTATAATTCCAGCACTTTGGGAGGCCGAGGCGGGTGGATCACGTGAGGTCAGAAGTTCTAGACCAGCCTGGCCAACATGGCAAAACCCCGTCTCTACTGAAAACACAAAAATTAGCCAAGCATGGTGGTGGGCACCTGTAGTCCCAGCTACTGGGGTGGCTGAGGCAAGAAAATCGCTTGAGCCTAGGAGGTGGAGGTTGCAGTGAGCTGAGATCGCGCCACTGCACGCCAGCCTGAGCGGCAGAGTGAGACTCTGTCTCAAAAAAAAAAAAAAAAAAAAAAAAAAAAACATGGAAACTGAAGACCACTGGCAGCTCCATAGAGGAAAGGCCACAAGAGCCTGCTGCCAAAGTCATCAGAGCTGCCCTTGGTTCTTCCAGCTGTCCTTTTGATCTCATGGCATATTTATATCTTCCAATAAGGCCCACAACTACCTTCCTATTCCACCTTAAAAAAAGAAGAAAAATCTACCTCAAGCAGGTTTATGTTGCTTGCAACTGAAAGAACCTTAACACATACAACCAGGTTGGGGCTCTAAAAGAGGGGATTTAAGCTTTCTCCTATAGCATGTCCAAGAGAACTCTCTACGATAAGGGAAATGTTCTATATGTGCCATCCAATAAGTTAGCCACTAGTCACATGTGGCTATTGAACACTTAAAATGTAGCTGCTGCAAGAAAGAATCTGAATTTTATATTTATTTCATGTTAATTAAGTGTAATTTAAATAACCATAAGTGGGCCAGGTGTGGTGGTTCACGCCTGTAGTCCCAGCACTTTGGGAGGCTGAGGCGGGTGGATCACTTCAGGTCAGGAGTTTGAGACCAGCCTGGACAACATGGTAAAACCTCGTCTCTACTAAAAATGCAAAAATTAGCCAGGCATGGTGGCACATTCCTATAATCCCAGCTACTAGGGAGACTGAGGCAGGAGAATCACTTGAACCTGGGAGGCGGAGGTTACGGTGAACCGAGATCGCGCTACTGCACTCCAGCCTGGGCGACCAGAGCAAAACTCCGTCTAAAATAAATAAATAACCATAAGTGACCAGTGGTTATGTATTAGATGATACAGTATGATGAGGATGATATGAATTCATTTTCTCTACTAAAGGACAGAGCAAGAGAAAATGGATTTAAGAGGAAGCAATGAAGCTATGTATTGGCCGTGAGCCAAATCACTGGAAAAGAGGATCAAGAAAGGTTCCTGGAAGCCCCTGGCATGCTCAGAAGTGGCCACTGAGTAGAATGGTGTAATCTTTTGCTTGGGCTGCCTTAACAAAGTATCCACAGACTGGGTGGCTTAACTCTAGAAATTAATTTTCTCGCTGTTCTACAGTCTGTAAGTCTGAGGCCGAGGTGTCAGCAGGTTGGTTTATTCTAGGGCCCATCTCTGGGCTTGTAGATGTCCCTCTTCTCCCCGTGTCCCCCGTCATGTGGTTTTCCATCTGTTCATGTCTGTGTCCTGTTCTCTTCTTAGAAGGGTACCCATAGGACCTCATTTTACTTGAATTACCTCATTAAAGACCCTATCTCCAAAAACAGTCACATTTTCAGGTACTGGGTGTTAGGGCTTCAATGCATGCATTTGGCAGAGACAGAATTTAGCCGATAACAAGCAGTTTAGGTGTGAATATGCCTGAGAGATGAAGGAATGATGAAAATTCCAATCACAGCATGGCCGGGAACTTGCAGTCTCCTGAGACCAGAGACCTGTTCAGCATTTTCCAATCCGAGTTTTGCTGCGCCTCATGCATTTTAATTGTGGCATCAGATGAGCTGTAGATATGGCATAGCTCCTTTCTAGGTTACCATTTCCAGGGAGTTTAATGAGTGTGACTTAGTTCACGTAACTAAGAGATTTCAATGCCAGTTTTGACTCAGTCAATTCTTCCTTTGAAATTATCTCCAGTTTTGTATTTCTCCAGCTACCGTTGCGATTTAAAGCAGCCCTTTATGACCACGTACACAGGGCCTCAGAATAGCTTCCTGCACAGTCACCTGGCCTTTCAGTTTATCCCAATTCTCATTCATTCTGTGTACCGAGTTGAGATTCTTCTTCCCATGAGACCATGTTCATGATTCCTCCCATTTCCCTGAAACTTCAAAGGACTCTCTCAACCCAGTTGTCTCAAGATTAATCCCAAATCTCTAACTTCTCATTAATTGTACTTTATCACCTAACTATGACTTTATTTAGTCTTTGACTTCTGACTGTAATTTCTATTGCTATAACTTTAGCATATCACCCTGCATAGGACGTTAATTTCTATTGCTACTAAAAACAAAACAAAATAAAACTCTTCTATGACCCCCAGATCTATTTTCTTACTTTCCATGACATTTCTCACACATGTCAAGGCCCAGTTCTTGTTTATGCTACTCAGCTAGAATGCCTCCAAGAGCTCCAGATCTCAAGGCACTTATTCATCACAAGAAAACTTTTCGTTCATTCATTCATTCATTCATTCATTCATTATTTTTTGTAGAGACAGATGCCCGGGCTGGTCTCGAACTCCTGGTCTCAAGCAATCCTCCCACTTCGGCCTCTCAGAGTGTGGGGATTACAGGCGTGAGCCACTGCACTCGACCAAAACGAAAGCTTTTACTCAAATGTTTCTTTCTCAGAAATGTCTTCCCTGGTCATTCCGTGTAAAACAGTGCTCCGTCGGCCAAAATCCTATAACACTGCTTTCTTTTTCTTTATGATGTTATGGGCTGAATTGTACCTCCTCACCCCAAATTTGTGTGTTGAGGTCCCAACCTCTAGTTAGCTCAGAATGTGATTGTATTTGGAGAAAGTGTCTTTAGAGAGGTAATTAAGGTCAAATACGGTCATATGGGTACCCTCCTAAGAAGAAGAGATTAGGACACAGACATGCACAGAGGAAAAACCGTGTGAAGACAGACACAGGGAGAAGGTGGCCGTCTGCAAGCCAGGGACAGGGACTTTACAAGAAAGCAACCCACAGACACCTGAATCTCAGACTCACAGCCTCCAGAAGGGAGGTGATTTGGTGATAGGGTCTTTTCTTATTTATTTTTATTTTTTGTTTTGTTTATTATTATTTTTCTGTAACCCAATCTTGGAAGTAAAGGAGGTAGGGTCTTTAGACTGTATTTGGCATACCCTTCTATGTGCCAGCTGTGTCCCATCCCTGCCTCATTCTGGGGTTTATTGAAGGAAGCCCATCTGCCTGCAGCTAAAAACTACAGCCTCCAACCTAGACTTTGTTGATCACAGGGTCTTTAGAGAGGTGATCTTTAAATTACAATAAGGTCATTCTTGTGGGCCCTGATCTGGTATGACTGGTGTCCTTATAAGAAAGAGGTGATTAGCACACACACACATGCACAGAGGGGAGGCCTTGTGAAGATGCAATGAGAAGACCATCTACACACCAGGAAGAGAGCCCTGGAACAGACCTTCCCTAGTGACTCTCAGAACAACCCAACCCTGCCGGCACCTTGGTCCCAGCTTCCAGCCTCCAGAGCTGAGAGAAAATTAATTTCTTTCTTTTCTTTTTTTTTGAGACAGAGTCTCACTCTGCTGCCCAGATTAGAGTGCAGTGGTGCCATCTTGGCTCACTGTAACCTCCGACTCTCAGGTTCAGGTAATTCTTGTGCCTCAGCCTCCCCAGTAGCTGGGATTAGAGCACATACCACCAAGCCCGGTGAATTTTTGTATTTTTAGTAGACATGGGGTTCCGCCATGTTGGTTAGACTCCTGGCCTCCAACCTCTGGCCTCAAGGGATCCACCCACCTTGGCCTCCAAAAGTGCTGGGATTACAGGCATGAGCCACTGCACCCATCTGAGAAAATGCATTTCTGTTGTTTAAGTTACCCAGTCCATGCTACTTTGCTATGGCAGCCTGAGCAAAGTAACACAGCTGTATATATGACTATCTAACTTTTTTTTTTGAAGAGGGGTTTATATTCCCTCACTAGAAATCAAGTTCACAAGGGCAGAAACATAGTTTTATTCACTGCAGTGTCTCCTTATCTAGAGTAGTGCCTGGCATGCAGAAGGTGCTCAGTGAATGGGTTTTGGAAGATCATTCTTTGTGCCCAGCTCTGCCCATCCATTTGTGCCCATCTCTGCCCATCCCTGCCTCGTTCTGGGGTTTAGAAAAGGAAGCCCATCTGCCTGCCGCTATAAACTACATCCTCCAACCTAGCCTTTGCTGGTCATGGAGGTAGTGCTTTCGTCTCTGTTGGCTTTTTCTCATTTCTCAGTTGGCTTAGAACTTGGGCAAGAAGGAGGGGTGCTAGTGCTTAGTACTCTTGCTCCCTAACACCCTGCAGTATCTTGCCATTGGCAGACACTCGGTGAATATTTTCCTAAATAAGGTCCTATTTACATGTTTCCTGACAATTTCATGCATGCATGTTTTGATTCCCAGCTAGCATCTCAGCTTCTAAAGGGGAGAGTTGTCCCTAAGGCCTGAAATTCTGCCCTCTTGTAGTAGTGGCTCAATAAATCTTCAATGAATGAATGACACATATACCCATTCTGTGGGACCCTTGGGGAATATTAATTGAGCTCCCAACAGCTCCCTTCTCTGAGGATCTTCTCACTTCCCTGTCTCTTCATTTCTCCTCCACAGCATGCAAAGCATGGAGGGAAAGTAGGAGTGTTTGTACCATGAGTCTCTGCACACCCCTCATCTTGGCTATAGTAGACTGGACCACAGATGGACACTGTACCATGCAGATTACTTCTTCCAGGAACTTGGATTGAGACCAAGAGACTCATGGCATCCTCTTCTGGCTGCAAGACTTATATTTTTATATTTAGGCAATAGAAGAGGGGCAGCAGATGCCTACCTTGTGGAACAGAGGAAGGCAGGCAGTTCACAGAGAAAGAGGACTAGACAGTCGGACAGAGGGGAGCAGGCTTGGGAGCTTCGTGGAGCCAATGTCCATCTCTGTCCTTCCTTTCCACTCGATGCTCCTGAGTCCCTGCCTTCAACCCCCGCTTGTTTGCTTAAACTGGTTTGAGTTTGTTTCTGCTGTTTGAAAAACAACAACAACAAAACCCCAAACAAAACAAACATCAAACAAAAACCAAAACAAAACCATTAACTCACTCATCCCTGTGATTGTATTTTGAGAAATAAAGGTGATTTCCTTCAGAAAACAAAGCGTAAAAACCCTGCCCTCCTCCTCTACCTCTCCGATCGCCTATTAAAGCCCATTTGCTCCACGGTAATGTAGAAGCTGTTCCCACACATCAGCTCATGTACAGTGTTGGACAGCATTTCTCTGCAATTCTTTCCAAATCAAAGATAGTACACCTGTGCTCCCAAATCTACCAGGAACACTCAATGTTTTTAAATCTATCTCTTTCTAAATTGCCTCATAAATTCTTGCTGTTCTCAGGATCACCTTTCTCAACTGTACCAGCTGAAATCAACTAAGGCGGTTACCCTAACAGTTCCAAGATGCTCAGTCGGAAATGCTGAACGAAGATCTTTCTGTGAAGAAGGGCGTTCAGAGTGTGCGTGTGTGTGTGTGTGTGTGTGTGTGTGTGTGTGTGTGTGTGTGTTTACAGCAACACTGTTCAAGCGGAAAATAGGGAGGAAAAACATCCTTGTTCATTAAATTCAGATTGCAGTGAAAGAACAAAATTGTTGGACAGATCTTCAAGGACTTCCACCTGTCTTCATTAGTTTCTTATTGATAACCAGTGAGAAGGCAGTTGCTGTAGATCAAGTCAGATGGTGGCTTAGACCAGGAGGTCTTGGTGGAGACAGAGGGGGCCCAATGAGAGCAAGAATCAGAGACAGAAAAGGAAGAAACAGGTAATAGATGAAGGAATCAAACCTAGCAATGGTAAATTCAGTGAGGAAAATAAGAGCTGGGGCATTGTCCTCTGGGAGGACTGACAGGTAAACTGGGACCTGGAGAATCTGAGGAGAGAAAAAGATTCCAGGATGAGGGAACACTTGGCACTTGATTTTTAACGAGACTGGCAGGCTCTAGAAACAGAAGGAAAGTCAGTATGGTTGGTGCAGAGTGAAGTGAACGGGAGGAGGGGTCACAGAAGGAAGGGAGCAACTCCCCAAGGTCCCTGGAGGCTCTGGTCATTGTAGCCAGGCAAAGGGCTCTTTTTTTCCATTTTAAAAAAAGGAAAACATAGGATTTTTCCCTTTTAAAAAATGGGCTGGGCACAGTGGCTCACGCCTCTAACCCCAGTACTTGGGGAGGCTGAGGCGGGCGGATTGCCTGAGGTCAGGAGTTCCAGACAGCATGGCCACATGGTGAAACCCCATCTCTACTAAAAATACAAAAATTAGCCAGACTTGGTGTTGTGCACCTTTAATCCCAGCTTCTCAGGAGGCTGAGGCAGGAGAATCACTTGAACCCAAGAGGCAGAGGCTGCAGTGAGCCAAGATGACACCACTGCACTCCAGCCTGGGTGACACAGAGAGACTCCGTCTCAAAAAAAAAAAAAAAATTAATAGACTATTGTTAAGAGCAGTTTGAGCTTTCCAGAAAAATAGAGCAGAGAGTACAGAGGTCCCAGGTATCTTCTCCCCTCTTCCTCTGCCTCAGTTTCCCCTATTACTAAAGATGTTAATCTTTGCGTTAGTGGGCATATTTATTACAATTGGGGAATCAACACTGACACATTATTATAAACTCTATAATTTACATTAGGGTTCACTCTTTCATTGAAGGGATCTTAGTGTAGGTGGAGAATGGAACTGACTTTGTCTGATGTACAATTTTGGAAGACCCAGCTTCACAAAAGCTGTTGTTAGGGGCTGGATTCTATTCCCCACCCCCCCCCCCAAAAATTCCTATACTGAAGTCCTAACCCACAGTATCTCAGAATATGTGAAGTTATTTGGAAATAGGGTCATTGGAGATATAATTAAGATGAGGTCACACTGGAGTGGGGTGGGCTGTAATCCAATATGATTGGTGTCTTTATAAAAGAGAGAAATAGGAACACAGGCATATACAGGGAAGATACTGAATAAACCCGAAGACGGACGTACACAAGCCCTACAGAGAGACCCTGAACAGGTATTTCCCTCACTGCCTTTGGAAGAAATCAGCCCTGCCAACACCTTGAATTATGGGTTTCAGCCTCTAGAACCATGAGACAATACATTTTTGTTGCTTAAGCCCCCCAGTCTGTGGTACTTTGTTATGGCAGCCCTGGTAAACTCATAACAGCTGTGAAGACCTGCTATAAGAAAACCTACTGAGGGCCTAGCATGCTGGCTCACACCTGTAATCCCAGCATTTTGAGAGGCCAAGGTGGGAGGATCGCTTCAGGTCAGGAGTTCAAAACAGGGCCTCACTGTGTCGCCAAGGCGGGAGTGCAGTGGTACAATCACAGCTCACTGCAGCCTTGGTCTCCTGGGCTCAAGTGATCCCCCTGCCTCAGCCTACTGAGTGATGGGATTACAGGTACGTGCTACCATGCCCAGCTAATTTTTTAAAAAGAATTTTTAGTAGACACAAGGTATTGGTATGTTTCCTAGGATGGTCTTGAACTCCTGGCCTCAAGAGATCCTCCCAGCTAGCCTCCCAAAGCGCTGGAATTACAGGTGTTAACCACTGCATCTGGCCTCCAAATTTATTTTTGAAATCACCTAAGTAAAAAAAACAGCTGCAAGCAAACAAATATCATATTTTTTCTCACCATTCTCACTAGAGAAGTCTCTAGGGGCACCTGGTTCTCTAGGTGGGTATGCACCAGGTAACTGTATTCTTCAGAGAACTGTTTAATCATCTGTATAGCCTTGGTGTAGCAAAAAATACCCTATTACCAGAAGTCGAGTCTACAGAGTACTAAATGAAAATAAAAAGTGGTCTTTATTCTGTACAGGTGATATGGTTTGGCTTTGTGTCCCCACTGAAATGTCATCTCAAATTGTAATCCCCAGGTGTTGAGGTGATTGGAGCGTGGGGGCGGTTTCACCTCTGCTGTTCTCGTTATAGTGAGAGAGTTCTCACGAGATCTGATGGTTTTATAAATGGCAGTTTCCATAGGTTTCCTTTTTTTCTTCTGCCACCTTGTGAAGAAGGTGTCTGTTTCCCAGTCCGTCATGATTGTAAGCTTCCTGAGGCCTCCCCAGCCATGTGGAACTGTGAGTAAATTCAACCTCTTTCCTTTATAAATTACCCAGCCTCGGGTAGTATGTTGATAGCAGTGTGAAAACGAACTAATACAACAGGTTTAAAGGCACGTTTATGAGATATTTAAGAATAACAGCACTCGCTGTTCCAGGGAGTAAATTGAGTTATTTACAGTAGTCCTCACCTGTGGTGCTAGGATTATTTGGAAAGAAGGAACACAGCCTCCCTCGAGCAACTTAAGCCAAGTGGCATAGAGCATAAAAACACACGTGGGCTAGAGCAACAACCATTAGGAAGTGAGGCGTGTTCAAAGATAGACTTTCTGCTGGCTTTCTCATCTGGTCTGTATGTTCTCTCTTAAGTATGGCTTCTTGTTTCGCTGATTCTCAGTTCTCCTGTAGGTCCTAACTGACCCTGCCTTTATGTATTCTTCGATTCCAGAGAGAATTCATTTCCTTTGTTTAGTTCATTACCACAGCGACTTTGGGAAGAGTGCTTTGTTTGAGGCCATGTCAGGTCATTGGACAGGTTTATGGCCAGGCTGTCTAGGGCACTTTGTGGGACTCTGTGGGTTGTGCCCAGTGGCTCTGGGGCTGTCTGTGGGGCCCCCGATAAGCCACTGGTCCAGTCAGTGGCTGCTCTTGCAGAAGGAACGGTTGAGTTGTCTGCGACCATGATAGGCACATGTGGGGTGCCTTGCTTTCGTACTCTGTTTACGTGAATCTCAGTTATCACCTGTGTTCTTCAAAGCTCATCAGTCTGAAGTGGCAGAAGGGTGTGAAGAAAACAAAAGCAGGGAGGTGGGTCATTGTTGTAACAACAATAATGATCTCTTCATTGGTTATTTTTCATATCTATTAACTTTAGTCTACTTTGCAATTTATATTTCATTTGCACATCAGATATGCAAAACTGAATCTTGTTTGAAAACTTCAAGTATTCAATACCTTAAAATTTGAAAGCTTCAAATATTCCAATAACTTCAATGCAACATCTTGGTAGTAATTTTTTTTAGACAGAGTCTCACTCTGTCCTTCAGGCTGGAGTGCAGTGGCGTGATCTCAGCTCACTGCAACCTCCACCTCCCAGGTTCAAGCGATTCTTCCACCTCAGCCTCCCGAGTAGCTGGGATTACAGGTGCCCACCACCACACTCGGCTAATTTTTTTTAAATTTTATTTTTAGTAGAGACGGGGTTTCACCACATTGGCCAGGCTGGTCTTGAACTCCTGGCCTCAGGTGATCCACTCGCCTTGGCCTCGGAAAGTGCTGGGATTACAGGCATGAGCCACCACACCCAACCCTGGTAGTAATTTTTAAATATCTATCTTGTCAACAAATGCCTGATAGCAAATATAAAATGTTACAGTGGACACGCTGTTCAAACATTGTGAAGAAAACCGTCTTTTTAAGAAACTGACAATGAAACTGACATCTCTAGTTCCCTTACCACATAAATAAAAGCCTTTAGTACAGAAGTATCTTTTGGAAAAAAAAAAAATCTAAAAAGTAAATGAGAGCTCTGCATTAGCTCACTATTGGAAGAAAAATGGAAAGTTTTCAGGAACAATCAACATAACTCTCTGCCCCACCCCTGCTCTTTCCACTGAAGAAGGACAAGCTGTCGTTACACCTCAGGCAAACACCGTTGCCCCAGTCCCTTGGGCTCATTGGAAGGTAGGCAAGGAGGGAACAGCCTGTCTCCTGATAAACAAGTGCAGAGGGTTCCAAATATCATCTCAAAGAGCCAAATTTATTTTGCAGCAACTTTTCATAAACCCAAGGGCTACATGGCTGACAGTAAAAAAAAAAAAAAAAAAAAAAAGACAGTGTACAAACCAAAGCATTAGGATTTTAAGAATTATAGAAACATTTAGTCATTAAAAAGCATAGAGGCAGTACTTGATAGATACATAAATATTTTATACATAAAATCTTCTTGGTTATTGGAAAGGAAAAAGGTGCCAAACTTGGAAAATGGCAGCTTCTACCAAATGTGTGAATGAGGAGAAAAGCTGGTTTGCTTCTCAGTGCCTTCGTGAATCTTATTTTCACGGGGGAAAGCCTGCCCTGTTTCTCTTTTCACGATACACTTAGCAGCCCTGCAGCCAGATTTTTTAGAGAGGAATGAGGGAGATTGGTGAGAAGCAAAGTACGAGTTTTCCAGCCATTTGGCTGGCACTATGCTTTTTAAAATGGTTTATACCACTTCATATTTCCCAAGAACCCCACATCATCCATCTAAAAAAGACAAAGACAGGAATCAAGTATTTGGTTGGTTTTTTTTTTTTTTCCAAAAGAATAAAAATAGCAGGTGGATTTTTACTTGATCTGTGATAGTTGGACTTTGGTCTTAAATGTCCATTATTTTTTATGTTTGAAAAATCACCCAATATAAACTATGAGTCGTGATTTTGTCTCCTTTCCTTCCTGTTTAGCTTGGATCTCTTTGGCAAGAACTCTTCTATTCCCCTTGGCTCGTGCAACAACATATGCCAGTTATGGTGTTTCCTCTGTATTTCCTGGTTGTCAGAAGCAATGTTGGTAGACAACATCTTCAAGCATCAGTGTTGTGTTAAGGGAAAGGGTTGTTGATGGCAAAAAGTAAGCTCCCTCTGCTGGTTGAGGGCTCCCTCTGCAGAAACGAATGTCTGAATATCCATTTAGAGACCGCGTTCTTTCTTCTTCCTACCCAGACACAAACGCTTTTCTGTTGTTGGAAGTGAAGATTGTCTATGAACCTGATACCTGGAAGAGCCCCACAGGAAATGCTGGAGTGGGTTTCTCTGAGGATACTCCCTGAGGTTTTACATGCAAACCCTGAGACTCTGGACAGTGTTAAATGATAAGGCTTATCGCTCTGAAAGGGACAGATGGCAGACCTACCCTGAAATAGCTTTTCTGGAAGAGTAACACATGGTAAATTGCATTAATTGCAATAATTGCTTTTTATGCCTTGATGAAAACTACCAAAGACCTTCAAAGATCTTCTAATCATGGCAAATGAGCACAGTTCCCCCTTACCAGTGACACAGCTACAGTGCTCCGGCTTGGGGTTCTGCAGAGAGGCTACAGAATTAAGAGCATAGGACCCATAGACTTAGGAAAGAGATGGGCAGGTGAGGCCCTGGGTGTAGCACAAGCTGGAGGAGTATCTAGTCCCATTTGGGGGCCAAGTTGTGGGTATTTCTTGTATAACATGTATTTGGTTAATTCAATAGTCATGGGGGAGGCTGGGGTGGGCAGATCACGAGGTCAAGAGATCGAGACCATCCTGGCCAACATGGTGAAACCCCATCTCTACTAAAAATGCAAAAATTAGCTGGGCATGGTGGCACACGCCTGTAGTCCCAGCTACTAGGGAGGCTGAGGCAGGAGAATTGCTTGAACCTAGGAGGCAAAGGTTGCAGTGAGCCGAGATTGCGCCACTGCACTCCAGCCTGGGCGACAGAGCGAGACTCCATCTCAAAAAAAAAAAGTCATGGTACATAAGGATTTAGGGAGTCTCCTCACTTAGCATGAACTGCAGGTGAGAATTACATTGGTGTCTTGTCTTCCTTCTTTCAAACTCAACAGAATAGCAGAGCGGGGTGGAGGGTAGACTTTCCTACTACATTTCTGTGATTTCCGTCTTACACAAACTAACCATGTAACTCAAGGAGGATTTATATTCTTTAACAAAGCTTTCCAGTTTTTCTCCTTTGAAATGATTTGGTTATGTGTCCCCTCCAAATCTCATATCGAAATGGGACCGCCAATGTCGGAAGTGGGGCTAGTGGGAGGTGTTTGGGTCATGGGGGTGGATTCCTCATGAATGGCTTGATGCCCTCCTCATGGTAATGAGCGAATTTTTACTCTGTTAGTTCACACAATAACTGGTGCTTTAGAAGAGTCTGGCTTCTCTCTTGCTCCCACTCTTGCCATGTGACATGCCTGCTCCCCCTTCATCTACCACTAAGCTTCCTGAACCCTCACCAGAAGCCAAGCAGATGCTGGCACCATGCTTGCACAGCTTGAAGAAGCATGAGCCAAATAAACCTCTTTCCTTTATAAATTACCCCGCCTCAGGTACTTCTTTATAGCAATGCAAATGGAGTAAGACATGCTTCTATGAAGATTTTTACGTCTTTGCTTTATTGTACCTCCTTTATGTTGAGTCAAGCTTCTGCTTTGTGCATGGAATCAGTCTATGACTTTGGATATTTTCCATTATTTTAATCTTCCAGGAATATTTATATCTTTTTTCATTCACTCTGCCAACAAATGCAGGAAACTTTATGGAGAAGACACTAGATTTCAGGCACTCTACTAGTGTGGGCTACTTCCATGGTATGTGGGATAAAAAGATTACTTATCACTAACATTTTTTTGTTGTTGTTCCAGACAGTATTGGAAGCACTTTTGGTATATCTCATTTAATCCTCTCAGTAAACCTTTGCGGTTATTATTATCCCTATTTTGCAAGTGAGAAACCAGCATCTCAGACAGATTACATAGTTTTTTCAAGGCCACACAGCTCATAAGTGGCAGAGCTAAAACTTGAAACTTTCAGACACCTTGTTCTTCCTGGTCTGTACATGGAAAGACTATCACTGTTGGGGGTGGGGGTGGGGGTGAACTTGTAAGTTAGCAAACAATCTCCATCCAGGATGACAAGGGCCCTATTGTACATATGCAATGTGTTAGGGCAGGTGATATCATTTGGATGTGTGTTCCTGCCCAGATCTCATGTTGAAACGTAGTCCCCAGTGTTGGAGGTGGGACCTGGTGGGAGGTGACTGGATTTCTCATGAATGGTTTAGCACTATCCCTTTGCTGCTGTCCTTGTGATAGTAAGTTCTCTTGAGATGCGGTCATTAAAGAGTGTATGTCACCTCCCTCCTACTTCCATTGTTGCTGCTCCGGCCATGTGACCTGCCTGCTCCTCCTTTGCCTTCCACCATGATTGTAAGTTTCCTAAGGCTTCCCCAGAAGCTGAACAGATGCCAGCATCATGCTTCCTGTACAGCCTGTGGAGCTGTAAGCCAATTAAACCTCTCGTCTTTATTTTTTTATTTTACATTAAGTTCTGGGATACATGTGCTGAACATACAGGTTTGTTACATAGGTATACATGTGCCATGGTGGTTTGCTGCACTTGTCAACCCCATCATCTAGGTTAAGCCCTGCATGCCTTAGGTATTTGTCCTAATGCTCTCCCTCCCTTTTCCCTCACCCACCCCAATAGACCCCAGTATGTGATGTTCCCCTCCCTGTGTCCATGTGTTCTCATTGTTCAACTCCCACTTATGAGTGAGAACGTGCGGTGTTTGGCTTTCTGTTCCTTTGTTAGTTTGCTAAGGATGATGGTTTCCAGCTTCATCCATGTCCCTGCTAAACCTCTTTTCTTTATAAATTACCAGTCTCAGGTATTTCTTTATAGCAATGCCAGAACGGACTAATACAGCAGGTGTCAGCAGTTTTCTTCTGTCAAGTGCCACATAATTAATATTTAGGCTTTGTGGGCCAAGAAGTCCCTGATGCAACCGCTTAACTCTACATACTAGCAAGAAAGCAACCACAAATAATATGTAAATGAATGAGGTGGCTGTGTTCCAATAAAACTTTATAAAAACAGGTGGTCAGCTGGATTTGACCCACAGGACTGTAGTTTGTCAACCTCTGTTCTAGGGGATTACAAGGAATAGAAAAACCGATTCTGCCCAAACGTGAGAAACAGACATTTGAATTAATCCCTGGATATCAGGCCACAAAGGAGAAAGTCATTCCAAGCAGAGAGAAATGTGTTTATAATTGGGGAACTCCGATTGAAAATTGGTATTTGGGGAAAATATGACATGTGAGTGACAATAAATGTATAGGACAATGGCAGAATCCAAGTTTGGAAAGGGGGATTTGTGCCTAGGTTAACAAATCATGTATTTTATGATATCCACTTAGTAAGCGCAGTTTGTTTATGTAGGCTTTTTGTTTTGTTCTGTGAACAACTTGTTTCTCTTCTCCTGATACAACTTTGCTATTTTCCTCTTAATTTGTGACATACAAAATGCCTTCATATGCCGTTGCATCAGCAAGACAAGAAAACAAACTGTAAGGGGTCTACCAGCTATATAAGGATAAATACAGTTGATGAAACATGGTATTTCAAAGATACTGGACTGAAACATTGTAGGAGATACTCTGATAGAAAATGAGGACAAATTTTTGTCTTTTGTAAAACCCTGTGGGTATAATTTTGCCATTAGTCAAGATGGATGTTTCAATGTTGAGACATGAGAAATCTTTGAAACACCAAGGCATAACATGAATGCTGCAGGGAAAATGAAGTTGATTTTTTTTTTTGAGCTGTAAGTCAACTAAAGTTGCTTTTGACAGCTTGCTGATGAAATGTGATTTTTATAATGCTCACAGACATTTGTCCGAGTTACTAAGTTTATTAGAATTCCCGCATAGGTGGGAAAGTTGTTGAGTGTGGTGTTGGATTCTAGTCTCTAAAGTCAAATGATATCCCCAGGGCTGTATGTGGGATAGTTTCAGTATGGGAGAAAAAAGTAGAGACTGGAAGATCCATCCGTTTCTCTCAAGATGTGGGCATGTTCTCTTCATGCAATCGGGAGATTCCCTTAGTTCTAAGATTCCCCATCTGGAAAAAATAAATTTCAACTGATGCACTGAGATAAAATAGATGATATTGCTTAGTTGAGTGCCAAGCCAAGCTGCAAGTTTTTAAAAGAGAAAACCAAAAAGTATTATAAGATTCCAAAGCCCCTACCCACATTGAAGGAGTAAAAGGAGCAATTAGGGTGCTAGGTGTCCCCTTCTACCACCCCCACCCAAGGAGCAGATGGAGAGGCTCTGCCCTGTACTTCAAGCCCAGTGGAGTTCCATCAGGACCCCACAGTTAGAGTGGCACGGTGGGGCCCAGCGAGCGGCCCAGTGTCTGACTGCAACTCCTGAGAGTGGAAAGCAGGCTGGCTAGTAGAAGGGGGAACAGTTGAGCTGGGCACTCCCTGCTCCATGAGAGTTTACTGGAGCAAAGGATGCAACAAGATTTCTTGCAGATTGGAAATGGATCATGTGGGAGGGTGCTGATGGGCTGGTCTTAATCCAGTCTGAGATGGCCACACACAATGTGAAGGAACTTCAGTGCAAAGAGGCTGGAGGTGAAGTGCAGATTCACAGAGGCTGAGAAAGGAGCCTTTTAGAGACCAGCGGGAAAAGAAATTCATTCTTCCTCATTAGGGGATGATGTGGTTTGGCTCTGTGTCTCACCCAAATCTCATCTCAGATTGTAATCCCCATGTGTCAGGGGAGGGACCTGGTGGGAGGTGATTGGATCGTGGGGTAGTTTCCCCCTTGGTGTTCTGGTGATAGTGGGATCTCATGAAATCTGATGGTTTCGAAGTGTGGCACTTGCACCTTTGTGCTTACTATCTCCTGCTGCCATGTAAGACGTGCCTTGTTTCCCCTTTGCCTTCTGCCATGATTGTAAGTTTCCTGAGGCCTCTCCAGTCATGCAGAACTGTGAGCCAATTAAAACTCTTTTCTTTATAAATTACCGAGTCTCAGCTCACCACAGCCTCCCCATTCCGGGTTTAAGCAATTCTTGTGCCTCAGCCACCCGAGTAGCTGGGATTATAGGCACTTGCTACCACACTGGGCTAATTTCTGTATTTTCAGTAGATACGAGGTTTTGCCATGTTGGCCAGACTGGTCTCAGACTCCTGGCCTCAAGTGATCCATCCACCTTAGCCCCCAAAGTGCTGGGATTACCGGCGTGAGCCATGGTGCCTGTCCTCAGGTAGTTCTTTATAGCAGTGTGAAAACAGACAAATACAAGGGAACTGTAGGTAGGAGATGCCCAACCCTGGAAACGTCTCCAAGAAACCCATACACATGTCTACAAGAGAAAGGAAGCATTAAACATCTGCCAGGCCCAGAAAGCATGAAGCCAAGCTTCCACAGCACTGGTCAAATAAGTTTCCTGCCCTACCCTCCATGCCCCTCTTTAAGGCTCGTCACTTCTCTGCCCCCTTTGTGAAGGTGTTGGAAACTGCACTGAGCAACACGGAGGGAAAAAGAAGAGCAAAGCAGGGAAGCAGCAGAAACTGATCACAGCCTTAATCCAGTCTGAGATGGTCTTAATCCAGTCTAAGATGGTCTCCAGTCTCAGTTGGCCACACACAATGTGAAGGGACAGCTTCCTGGGCCTGAGTTAGGAAAAAGAGGAGAAACATCTACTTTGATCAACTTAAAATGCTGGCTGTTGGCCAGGCATGGTGGCTCATGCCTGTAATCCCAGCAGTTTGGGAGGCCAAGGTGGGTAGATCACCTGAGGTCAGAAGTTCGAGACCGGCCTGGCCAACATGGTGAAACCCCGTTTCTACTAAAAATACAAGAATTAGCCGGGTGTGGTGGCATGTGTCTGTAATCCCAGCTGCTTGGGAGACTAAGGCAGGAAAATCACTTGAACCCAGGAGGCAGAGGTTGCAGTGAGTTGAGATCAAGCCACTGCACTCCAGCCTGGGCAACAAAGTGAGACTCTGTCTCAAAAAAAAAAAAAAAAAAAAAAAAAATGACCCTGACATGCAACTGGACAATCCAATCAGTAAATTGGCACAGTGTGTTACGACCTAGGCATGAGTTTAACCCTTTAATTGATTTTTTTTTTTTTTTGATACGGAGTCTTGCTCTGTCTCCCAGGATGGAGTGCAGTGGCACGATCTCAGCTCACTGCAGGTTCCGCCTCCCAGGTTCACGCCATTCTCCTGCCTCAGCCTCCAGAGTAGCTGGGACTTCAGGCCAGCCACCACGCCCAGCTAATTTTTTTTTTTTGTACTTTTAGTAGAGATGGGTTTTCACCATGTTAGCCAGGATGGTCTCCATCTCCTGATCTCGTGATCCTCCCATCTCAGCTTCCCAAAGTGCTGGGATTACAGGCGTGAGCCACTGCACCAGGCCTAAACTCCTCCTTTTTTAAAAACTCAAATGGTTTCTGATTCCTGGTTAGATCCCAACCATAAGAGCATCCCATGAGTCATGCATGCCTCTTTTTGCGTGCATGTAAATATATATGACACTTTTAATATATGTGTGCATGAATAAATCTGTATATATATAACTTTGTTTTAGTTAAACAATGACCCTAAGCACATCTGGTGAGCTTCCACCACTTTAAGAATGCTTTTAGCTCATTAATAAATTGCTAAAGGAAAACGCGTTCTTGCATTTAGTAAAACAACATGTTAAACGTTTTGCTAGACAGATCATTGACCTAATTGAGAATCCCAAATCCAGCTTTGCCATCTAATCCATGATGCCACAAATCTTTGTGTGCTTGGTCCTCTGGGCCAGGAGCTGATCCAGTTCCAGGGACTCTGAAGAAGAACTCTACTTCCTCCTCCTTTACCGTTATGTCATGCATTCAATAGGTACTTGGCATCACTAAATCTACAAAGCCCAGAATTAGCAAGCACTGAGAACAAGCATATACTGAGTGTCCTGGTCATTCAAACACATATTTTATCCATAGTTATTCAGAAACCCATTCATTTGGTCACACTGGCACATCTTGGTATAAAGTAGAGATACTTCCTCAAAGGAGTGAATTCCTAGACTGTTACAGAATATAAACTTTCTCGCCCTTTTTATAATATGCCATTTATGGCTGGAGTTTGCAGGAAAATGTTGAGGAAGGGATGCTCAAATGCAAAGGCTCAACCCACAAAAGTGGAGCTGCTATTCCAGCTCTTTATCTAACATTTGTGTATGAATATGTATTAAAGAGCCAGTTAGCCTAGGCTGTGGATTAGCGCCCTAGGTGGGCCCTGTTTCTCACAGAGGTAACACAGTTTTATGAGTGCTGACTTAATCCTTAGGTGTAGCTTGTTGCCACACCTATCAGTAGCCCAATGGTAGCCTTAGGCAAAAAGAGGAGAGAACAATTCAATGCAGTAGGTCTCACAATCAGGATCCAGGAGTAAACCCGCATGATGGAGGCTCACTAGAGGTACCTTCTCAGATGCAAGTTGAAAAAATTTTTGTTTTTAGTTTAATTGGCATGATTAACACTTTCTCTATCACTCTCTTAAGCCTCAAAAAATCAAATAATTGATCAAGCTCTGGGCCAGGCACAGTGGCTCATACCTGTAATCCCAGCACTTTGGAAAGCCAAGGCAGGTGGATCACCTGAGGTCAGGAGTTTGAGACCAGCCTGGCCAACATGGTAAAACCCTGTTTCTACTAAAAATAGAAAAATTAGCCAGGCATGGTGGCGCATGCCTGTAGTCCCAGCTATTAGGGAGGCTGAGGAAGGAGAATCGCTTGAACCTGGGAGGTAGAAGTTACAGTGAGCGGAGATCACGCCACTGCACTCCAGCCTGGGTGAGAGACTCCATCTCAAAAAAAAATTAAATTTTAAATTTTAAAAATCAAGCTCTGATTTGGAGGGTTTGCCCGTTTCCATGGTGTAAATGTTAGTGTGTAACCCTCTAGCATTAATCACTAAGCTGGAAGCTTGATGTGGGGATGTGAGTATCTGCTCTACACACAGCCGTGTCTCCCAAACTTTGTACAGTTTATCCTGGTCAGTCTTCCCAGTGTTGCTAACCCTGCTGCATTATTCAGCCCCTGCCATTACTCACCTTGGGCCATGGTAGATGTTTGGTTACAAACCAACAAGCAATGCAGAGCATTTGCCCTTCTGTCTTTTCATTTCAAGATCATGATGATGCTGTGGACAGAAACAACAATGGATTCTAATGTGAGCCAACCGATTGTTCAGAATGTTGCCTTTTGAGGAATACCTGTATCTGTGGCCGTGCTGTGTGAAAGACAAAGGAGCATAATTCTGACATGAATGTTGGTTGATGTTTTCCTTAATGAGTAAAAAAGGAAAGTAAAACAACAAAGGAAATGTATATAGGGATTTCACTCATTTGTCAATGATATGAGTGGCTCCTTTGCAGATTTAGGTAATAACTTTTTATTAATTTCAATGGTTTTCGGGGAATGGGTAGCGATCAGTTACATGAATAAGTTCTTCAGTGGCCATTTCTGAGATTCTGGTGCACCTATTACACAAGCAGTGTACACTGTAACCAACGTGTAGTCTTTTATCCCTCACCCACTTCCCACCCTTTCCCCAAGTCAGCAAAGCCCATTGTATCATTCTTATGTTTTTGCATGCTCATAACTTAGCTCCCACGTATAAGTGAGAACGTACGATGTTTGGTTTTCTATTCCTGAGTTACTTCACTTAGAATAATGGTTTCCAATTCTATCCAGGTTGCTGTGAATGCCATTATTTCATTCCTTTTTAGAGCTGAGTAGTATTCCATGGTGTGTGTGTGCACGCTTGTGTGTGTGTGTGTGTGTGTGTATTACCTTGGGCCATGGTAGATGGCCCACACACACACACACACACACACACATATATACATACAGACCACATTTTCTTTATGCACTCATTGACTGATGGGCATTTGGGCTAGTTCCCTATTTTTGCAAGTGTGAATTGTGTGGCTATGAATATGCATGTGCAAGTATCTTTTTTGTACATTGACTTCTTTTCCTCTGGGTAGATAACCAGGAGTAGGATTGCTGGATCAAATAGTAGATTTAATTCTTTAAGGAATTTTCACGCTGTTTCCCATAGAGGTTGTACTAGTTTACACTCCACCAACAGTGTAGAAGTGTTCGCTTTTCACCACATCCACTCTAACATGTATTTTTTTTTTATTATGGTCATTCTTGCGGGAGTGAGGTGGTATCTCATTGTGGTTTTGATTTGCATTTCCCTGATCATTAGTGACGTTGAGCATTTTTTCATGTCAGCCATTTGTATATCTTCTTTTGAGAATTATCTGTTCCCATCCTTAGCCCACTTTTTGATGGGATTGTTTCGTTCTTGCGGATTTGAGTTCTTTGTAGATTCTGGGCATTAGTCCTTTGTCAGGTGTATAGATTGTGAAGATTTTCTCCCACTCTATGGGTTGCCTGTTTATTTTGCTGATTATGTCTTTCACTGTGCAGAAGCTTTGTAGTGTAATTAAGTCCCATCTATCTTTGTTCTTGTTGGATTTCCTTTTGGGTTCTTGGTCATGAAGTCTTTGCCTAAGCCAATTTCCAGAAGGGATTTTCCAGTGTTATCTTCCAGAATGTTATGGCTTCGGGTCTTAGATTTAAATCTTTGATTTAGCTAGAGTTGATTCTTGTATAGGGTGAGAGATGAGGATCCAGTTTCATTCTACATGTGGCTTGCCAGTTATCCCAGCACCATTTGTTGAATAGGGTATCCTTTCCCACTTTATGTTTTGGTTTGCTTTGTCAGAGATCAGTTGACTGTAAGTGTTTGGCTTTATATCTGCGCTCTCTATTCTGTTCCACTGTTCCTATTTTTATACTAGTACCATGGTGTTTTGGTGACTATGGCCTTATAGCATAGCTTGAATTTGGGTAATGCCTCCAGATTTGGTGTGTTTTTTGTTTGTTTTTTTCTTAGTCTTGCTTTGGCCATGTGGGCTCTTTTTTGGTTCCCTATGAATGTTAGGATTGTTTTTTCTAGTTCTGCGAAGAAGGCTGGTGGTAGTTTGATAAGAATTGCATTGAATTTGTAGATTGCTTTTGGCAGTATGGTCATTTTCACAATATTGATTCTATCCATCCATGAGCATGGGATGTGTTTCCATTTGTTTGTATCATTTGTGATTTCTTTCAGCAGTGTTTTGTAGTTTTCCTTCAGAGGTCTTTGACCTCCTTGATTAAGTATATTCCTAAGTATTTTTGTTGTTGTTGCAGCTATTGTAAAAGGAGTTGAGTTCTTGATTTGATTCTCGACTTGGTTGCTGTTGGTGTATAGCAAAGGTACTGATTTGTGCACATTAATATTGTATCCTGAAACTTTGCTGAATTCATTTACCAGTTCTAAGAGCTTTTTGGATGAGTCTTTGGGGTTTTCTAGGTATACGATCATGTCATAAGCAAACAGTGGCATTTTGACTTCCTCTTTACCAATTTGGATGCCCTTTATTTCTTTCTATTGTTTGATTGCTCTGGCTAGGACTTCCAGTACCAAGTGGTGAGAGTGGGCATCTGTGTCTTGTTCCAGTTCTCAGGGGGTTGCTTTCAACTTTTCCCAACTCAGTATAATACTGGCTGTTGGTTTGCCATAGGTGGCTTTTATTACCTTAAAGTATGTCCCTTCTATGCCAGTTTTGCTGAGGATTTTAATCATAAAGCGATGCTGGATTTTGTCAAATGCTTTTTCTGCATCTGTGGAGATGATCATGTGATTTTTGTTTTTAATTCTGTTTGCATGGTGTATCACATTTATTGTGGTTGTTAAACCATCCCTGTATCCCTGGTATGAAACCCACTTGATCATGGTAGATTATCTTTCTGATATGCTGTTGTATTCTGATGGCTAGTATTTTGTTAAGAATTTTTCCATTTATGTTCATCAGGGATATTGGTCTGTGGTTTTCTTTCTTTGTTATGTCCTTCCCTGTTTTTGGTATTAGGGTGATACTGCTTCATAGATTTAGGGAGGGTTCTCTCTTTCTGTATCTTTTGAAATAGCATCAATAGGATTGGTACCAATTCTTCTTTGAATGTCTGATAGAATTCAGCTGTGAATCTGCCTGGTCCTGAGCTGCTTTGTTGCTGTTGGTAACTTATTAATTACCATTTCAATCTCACTGCTTGTTATTGGTCTGTTCAGAGTTTCTATTTCTTCCTGGTTTAATCTAGGAGGGTTGCATATTCCCAGTAATTTATCCATCTCCTCTAGGTTTTCTCATTTATGCATGTAAAGGCGAACATTCATAGTAGCCTTGAATGATTTTTGGTATTTCTGTGGTATCAGTTATAATATCACCCATTTCATTTCTAATTGAGCTTATTTGGATCTTCTCTCTTTTCTTGGTTAATCTCACTAATGGTCTATCAATTTTATTTATCTTTTCAAAGAACCAGCTTTTTGTTTCATTTATCTTTTGTTTTTATTTCAATTTCATTTAGTTCTGCTCTGATCTTGGTTATCTCTTTTCTTCTGCTGGGTTTCAGTTTGGTTTTTCTTTCTCTAGTTCCGTGAGGTGTCACCTTAGATTGTTCATTTATGCTCTTTGAGACTTTTTGATATAGGCATTTAATGCTATGAACTTTACTCTTAGCACCACTTTTGCCGTATCCCAGAAGTTTTAATAGGTTGTGTCACTATTCAGTTCAAAGAATTTTTTAATTTCCCCCTGGATTTCATTGTTGACATAACAATTTTCAGGAGCAGGTTAATTTCCATGTATTTGCATGGTTTTGAGGGTGTCTTTTGGAGTTGATTTCTAATTTTATTCCACTGTGGTCTGAGAAAGTACTTGATATAATTTTGATTTTTAAAAATGTGTTGAGACTTGTTTTGTGGCCTATCATATGGTCTATCTTGGAGAATGTTTCATGTGCTGATGAACAGAATGTATATTCTGCAGTTGGGTAGAATATTCTGTAAATATCTATTTAGTCCATTTGTTGTAGGGTATAGTTTAAGTCCATTGTTTCTGTGTTGACTTTCTGTCTTGATGACTGTCTAGTGCTGTCAGTGGAGTATTAAAGTCCCCCACTATTATTGTGTTGCTGCCTATCTCATTTCTTAGGTCTAATAGTAATTGTTTTATAAATTTTAGAGCTCCAGTGTTAGGTGCATATGTATTTAGGATTGTGATGTTTTCCTGTTGGACTAGTCCTTTTATCATTATATATAATGTCCCACTTTGTCTTTTTAAACTGGTGTTCCTTTAAGGTTGGTCTGATATAAAAATAGCTACTCCTGGTCAATTTTGGTGTCCATTTGCATGGACTATCTTTTTCCACCCATTTACCTTAAGTTTATGTGAGTCCTTATGTGTCAGGTGAGTCTCCTGAAGACAGCAGATACTTGGTTGGTGAGTTCTTATCCATTCTGCCATTCTGTATCTTTTAAGTGGAGCATTTAGATCATTTACAGTCAATGTTAGTAGTGAGATGTGAGGTACTATTCTATTCATTGTGCTATTTGTTGCCTCTATCCTGTTTCTTTCTTTTTTTTTTTTTCATTGTATTTTTTTTATGGGTCCTGTGAGATTTATGCTTTAAGGAGATTCTATTTTGGTGTATTTCAAGGATTTGTTTCAAGATTTAGAGCTCCTTTTAGTAGTTCTTGTAGTGCTGGCTTGGTAGTGGTGAATTCTCTCAGCATTTGTTTGTCTGAAAAAGACTATCTTTTCTTTATGGAGCATAGTTTTGCTGGATACAAAATTATTGGCTCATACTTGTTTGTTTAAGGAGGCTAAAGATAGGACCCCAATCCCTTCTAGCTTGTAAGGTTTCTTCTGAGAAATCTGCTGTTAATCTGACAGGTTTTCCTTTATAGGTTCCTGATGCTTTTGCCTCACAGTACTTAAGACTTTTTCCTTTCTCTTGACCTTAGATAACCTGATGACCATATGCCTAGGAGATGATCTTTTCGTGATGAATTTCGCAGGCACTCTTTGAGCTTCTACTATATGGATGTCTAGATCTCTAGCAAGGCCAGGGAAGTTTTCCTCAATTTTTCTCTCAAATATGTTTTCCAAACTTTTAGATTTTTCTTCTTCCTAGGGAACACCAATTATTCTTAGGTTTGGTTATTTAACATAATCTCATACTTATGGAGGCTTTGCTCATTGTTTAAAGTTATTTTTTTCTTTGTCTTTATTGGATTGGGTTAATTCAAAAGCCTTGTCTTTGAGTTCTGAAGTTCTTTCTTCTACTTGTTCCATTCTATTGCTGAGACTTTCCAGTGATTTTTGCATTTCTCTAAGTGTGTCCTTGCTTTCCGGAAGTTGTGATTTTTTTTTATTTATGCTATCTATTACACTGGAGATTTTCCCATTCATATCCTGTATCATTTTTTAAATTTCTTTAAGTTGGACTTCACTTTTCTCTGGTGCCTTTTTGATTGGCTTAATAATTGACCTTCTGAATTCTTTTTCTGGCAATTCAGAGATTTCATCTTTGTTTGGATCCACTGCTGGTGAGCTAGTGTGATCTTTTGGGGGTGTTAAAGAATCTTATTTTGTCATATTACCAGAATTGTTTTCCTAGTTCCTTCTCATTTGGGTAGACTATATCAGAGGGAAGATCTGGGACTCAGGAGCTGCTGTTCAGATTCTTTTGTCCCACAGAGTGCCCCCTTGATGTGTTGCTCTCCCCTTTCCCTTATGGATGGGGCTTCTGAGAGCCAAACTGCAGTGATTATTATTTCTCTTTTGGATCTGGCCACCCAGCAGAGCTACAGGGCTCTGGGCTGGTACTGGGGAGCATATGCAAAGAATCCTGTGATGTGATCTATCTTCAGGTCTGTAAGGCATGGATACCAGTAGCTACTCTGGTGAAGGTAGCAGGGCAGTGAAGTGGATTCTGTGAGGGTCCTTGGTTGTATTTTTGTTAAGTGTTCTGCTTTTGTGTTGGCCTCCAGCCAGGAGCTGGCACTTTCAAGAGCATATCAGTTGTGGTAGCATAGGGAAGATCAGGTGGTAGTGGGGGCCCTAGAGCTCCCAAGAGATAATGGCCTTTGTCTTTGGCTATCAGGAGAGGTAAAGAAAGACCATCAGGTGGGGGCAGGGATAGGCGTGTCTGAGCTCAGACTCTCCTTGAGTGGGGCTTGCTGTGGCTGCCGTAGGGGATGGGGATATGGTTCCCAGGCCAATGGAGTTATGTTCCCAGGGGGATTACGGCTGTCTCTGCTGCATCACACAGGTCACCAAAGAAGTGAGGAAAAGCAGGCAGCCACACACAGGCCTCACCTAGCTCTCAAACAGCCTGCAGCCAAAAGGCCAGACTCCTCTCTTTCCAACCATGCCCCACCAACAGCACCAAGTTTATTTCCAGGTAGCCAGTGAGCAGGGCTGAGAACTTGCCCCAGGATACAAGCCTCCCAGCTCTGAAAGCAAGCGGACTCACAGTTCCTCAGTTGTCCCACGGAGCCTGCAGCAGCAGTCCACCTCCTTCAAAGGGTCTGTGGATTCTCTTAGCTTTCCTGGTATGTTCCTGCATTAGTCCTTGGAGCAAAAGTTCAAGATGTAGCTCTCCACACACTGCTCTGTCCCTTGAAGTGGGAGATGCAGATTAGTTCTGCCTCCTATTCTGTCATTTCTCCCCCTTTGGTGTTCTTATCCTCTCAGGCAATAATTTTTGAATACTAGAATACTGCCTCATGCTTCTGTGCTGTATGCAACGTAGCAGCTACACACACAACACGTTTTTGTGTTGTGTGTGTAGGATTAACATTTTCTCCATCACTTAAAGCCTGGAAAATCAACAAATGAGAAATGAAGCTCTGATTTGGAGGGTTTGCCCATTTCTGTGGTGTAAATCTAGTGTGTAACCCTCTAGTATTAATAACTAAGCTGGAAGCTTGATGCGGGGAGGACAGACCCTTATCTGCTATGCACACAACTGTATCCCCTAGACGTTGTACAGTTTATGGTACATACAAGAGGAAAACAGAAACTCCTAACCTTTTGGGAGTTATTTCATTAAAATTGCTTGGTTTAGAGAGGTGGTTACTTTTTGTTGCTATTTTGTGACTGAGATCTAGCAGTCCCACAGAGCGCTGAGAGGGTTTCCCAACATCCTTTCCTTCCTTGGTCAGTAACAGGGATGGTTGAGGGAAAGAAGTGAATCAGAAAATCCAAATTATATTTCTGCCACTTAGCTCAGAATAAATTCCCAGTTGAAGGTGGACTTCTGTAATAAGAAAGAGATTAGATATCCATTCTAAGCTTGCTTTCTTCCTCCTCATGTTTGCATTAGTCACACTTTGTCTTCATTCCTTACCATCTTCGTCCTGGTCCTAAGTGAATGCTGCCTGATTGAGCTATTTTCTTAAATGTCGCTTTGCAGGTAAGGCTTTCCTTGGCCACCATATTCAAACAGTATGCATCTCACATCACCATAATCCCTTTGCCTTTCTTTAGTTTTCTCTGAAACACTCTACATATTATATATTTAATATATAGAAATTATATTTATTATTTCTCCAAAACACTGTACATACTACATATGTTTATGGGTTCATTTTCTGCCTCACCCTACCAGAATGCAAGCTCCAGGAAGGCAGAGATTTTTTGTTGTTGTCTATTTGATTAAAGTATCTCCAGTTCCTCAAACAATAGATATTAAATGCATAAGCCAATGTATTGAGCACCTACTTTGAACCACAAACTGTTCTAAGAGTGAGTGGTAAACAAGAAAGACAAAATTTCTACCCTTAAAATTTACATTTTAGAAAATTTCAACTTATATAAGACCATAATTCTTCAATGATTTATGTGAACATAACAACATACAGCATACTTACATAAGACCATAACTCATCCATGACATGGATGTATACCGCAACATACTTAAGTATACCATAACATACTTATTATACTTGTTAAGTATACAATAACATGCTTACATACAACAATTTACATAAGACCATAACTCGTCAATGATTTACGTGAATTCTTTTTTGTTTAGTGGCCAAATCATTGATGAGTTATGGTCTTAGGATGTAAGTTGGAGGTAGGGTACAGGTTGATTAGCCAAATCCTAAATTAATGGAACGCCTCTGATATGGTTTGAATCTGTGTCCCAACCCAAATCTTATGTTGAATTGTAATCCACAATGTTGAAGCTGGGGCCTGGTGGGAGATGGTTGGATCATGGGGGAAGTTTCTCATGGTTTTACACCATCCCCCTTGGTGCTGTCCTCACTATGCTGAGTTCTCATGAGATTTGGTTGTTTAAAAGTGTGTGGCCCCTCCCACCTCATTCCCTCTTGCTCCTGCTCTGGCCATGTGAAGTGCTCATTCCCTCTTTGTCCTCAGCCCTCATTGTAAGTTTCCTCAGGCCTCCCCAGAAGCCAAGCAGATGCCAGCATCATGCTTCCTGTACAGCTTGCAGAACCATGGGCCAATTAAACCTATTTTTTAAAAAATACATTTCCCGGTCTCAGGCATTTCTTTTTCTTTTTTAAAATTGAGACAGGGTCTCATTTTATCACCCAGCTTGGAGTAGAGTGCCACAATCTTGGCTCACTGCAACCACTGCCTCCCAGGCTCAAGTGATCCTCCCACCTTAGCCTCCGGAGTGGCTGGGACCACAGGTATGCACCACCACACCTGGTTATTTATTTTTGTGTTTTTAGTAGAGACGGGTTTCGCCATGTTTCCCAGGCTGGTCTTGATCTCCTGATCTCGTGATCTGCCAGACTCGGCCTCCCAAAGTGCTTGGATTACAGGTGCAAGCCACCACGCCCAGCCCTCAGGCATTTCTTTATAGCAATTCCAGAATGGACTAATGCAACCTTACTTACCCGTTTCCCATTTAGTAAAAGTGCAGCTTGCTGCCAGAACTCATTTAATTTTACATAAACACGCTCTTTGAAGTTGAAGCAAATCTGACTGATTTTCAATGTGAAAATGAAATATAAAACATGGCTGGGGCATGGTGGTTCATGCCTGTAATCCAAGCACTTTGGGAGGCCGAGGTGGGTGGATCATTTGAGAGAGATCAGCCTGGCCAACATGGTGAAACCCTGCCTCCACCAAAAATTGTCCAGGCGCAGTGGCTCACGCCTGTAATCCCAGCACTTTGGGAGACCAAGGCGGGCGGATCACGAGGTCAAGACATTGAGACTATCCTGGCTAACACGGTGAAACCCTGTCTCTACTAAAAATACAAAAATTAGTTGGGTGTGATGGCGGGTACCTGTAGTCTCACCTACTCAGGAGGCTGAGGCAGGAGAATTGCTTGAACCCAGGAGGCGGAGGTTGCAGTGAGCCGAGATCTCGCCACTGCACTCCAGCCTGGGCAACAGAGCGAGACTCCATCTCAAAAACAAAAACAAAAATCCTGTTCTTGGAGTTATTTGTAAACAAAACTAACATCAGAATCATCCGAATCATCAGAATTGTCTGTTCCAGAAAAATCAGATTCATGAAATGAATTTTCAGCCTACGGCTGTTAGAGAATCATATTAACATCATGTGTAGGAATGCCATGTTTTCTAGAATTTGACATTTTCAGCAATTGAGAATTACTATATTTTGTAAACGGAAATGCCACTACTAAAAACAGAATGCTATAAATAGAATGATGTCTTTGGTTTCCAAAGTCGATGAAATAGAGCGATACAATAATAATAAAAGTGAGCTATTTTGTGGCAAAGTTATCTCGGGGTGAATGCTGCATCCACAAGTACTGCTGGCAAGTATTCTCAGGGCAAACAGGAAAAGGGTTAAAAATCACTACTTTTTAGGCTGAGATTTCACAGAAGGTATGTAGACACAACCAAGCATCAGGAGTGACGGCAACAGAAAGCTATGTCAAGCATTCAAGAACCTAAGGAACAGGGTGCTGTGAGCCCTTGTTGGACAAAGTTGCTTGTTGACAAGATCCAGCAGCTCATGAATCAATACAAATTTAAAATTTTACCTTAATTACCAAATTTAGTGTACATTTAGTAATTAGGCCAGGTGCGGTGTCTGACGCCTGTAGTCCCAGCACTTTGGGAGGCCAAGGCGGTAGGATCACTCGAGCCCAGGAGTTCAAGACCGGCCTGGGCAACATAGTAAAACCCTGCCTCTAAAAAAAATAAATAAATTTAGTAATTAAGATGATATAGTGGAAGAACTAGCTGTGAACACTGAATCTCTTTAGATAAAGGACTAAGGATAAACATAATGGCAGTTGTGGTTAGGGCCATAATGAAAACCTTATAAACCTTGACAACATAAAAATAGTAATAAAACTGCAAAACTAGAAGGAGGAGGGAAAAATTGTAGGAGAAAGTATGAATGCTAATTTTCTAATCTTTTGTAGCAAGGAGTCAACAGAATCTGTTAAAATCAAAATACATGATTTAAAAATTATAATGGGTTGTTAGTTTACTTACTGAGTTTTGAGAAGTCTTTATATAACTCGGATACCCATTATCAGATACGTGCTTTGCAAATATTTTCTCTGGGTCTGTGGCTTGTCTTTTTTTCCTCTCAACAATGTATTTTGAAGAGCAGATGCTTTAAATTTGTGAGGAAGTCCAATTTATCATTGCAGTATCCCCAAGTTGGAAAGAACCCAAATATCCATCAACAGGTAATGATAAACAAATTGTGGTACATAGGTACAATGAAATATTATATGGTAATTAAAAGGAATAAACTACTGATGCATGCAACAACACATCAAATAATCTCAAAATAATTATCTGAGTGAAATAAGCCACACAAAATGAGTGTGTATTATATGATTCTATTTATAGAAAACCCTTAACAAATTCAAAATAATCAATAGTTTATAGAGAAAGAAAGCACATCTGTTTGGCGAAAGGTGGCAGGGAAGGGTAAAAGGAATCTGCAAAAGTGTACGAGGAAACTTTTGGTAGTGAAGGTGTGTTCACTCTCTCGAGTATGGAGATGGTTTCATGGCACGTACAAAGACAAAACTTACCACCTTCAATGCTTGGAGTTTGTGCAGTTTATAATTCGTCAAGTACAGCTCCAGAAAGCTGTTATAAAACAGAATAAGTCTATTTACTAGTCTGTGTTTTTATTAACTTTAGGGGGATTTTCCTTTTTTTTTTTTTTTTTTTTGTAGACAGAGTTTTACTCTTGTTGCCCAGGCTGGAGTGAAGTGGTGCAATCTTGGCTTACTGCAACTCCGCCTCACAGGAGTGATTCTCCTGCCTCAGCTTCCTGAGTAACTGGGATTACAGGTGCCCACCACCACACCCAGCTAATTTTTGTATTTTTAGTAGAGATGGGGTTTCACCATGTTGGCCAGGCTAGTTTCGAAATCCTGACCTCAGGTGGTCCACCTGCCTCAGCCTCCCAAAGTGTTGGGATTAGAGGCGTGACCGCCTGCACCCAGCTGCTTGTTTCTTACATGTGAGGGAAGCTGCGCTAGATACCAAATGCTTGGAGAGGTTGGGGATGGTGGCCAGGCAGAAGAGGAACACTTGGGGGAAGTATAAAGAACAGGGTTTATTTGCCACACAGCAGTCATTCTTGCTCCTGCCCTTTAGCTTTTTATGAAATACAAACACATCCTTACAGAGTGTGCACAGTTCCTGACTTGCTCTTACGAGGCTTTGTTGTTTCTTAATTCCAAATTATGACATGGATTGGGATTTTTTTTTCCTTACTTCCCTTGTTAAAATAGAAATAAAACAACCATTAGTAATTTTCAGATGGTTCCATTCTGAAAAATTTATCAGTAGACAGTTGAATTTTTTTGAGACACGGTTTTGTCATGTTGGCCAGGTTGGTCTTGAACTCCTGGCATCAGGTGATCTACCTGCCTCGGCCTACCAAAGTGCTGGTATTACAGGCATGAGCCACTGCATGTGACCTTTTTTTCTTTTTTTTTTTTTTTTTTGAGATAAGGTCTCACTCTGTCGCCCAGGCTGGAGTGCACTGGTGCAGGGAATACGGGGGTACACCACCATGCCAGGCTAATTAGAAAGAAATTTTTTTTTGTAGAGACAAAGTCTTACTACATTGTCCAGGCTGGTGTCAAACTCCTGGGCTCAAGCAATCCGCCTGCCGCAGCCTCCCAAAGTATTGGAATTACAGGTATAAGCCACTGCGCCCAGCATGAAGTACTTTTTACATGTATATATGTGTGTGTATATGTATTATGTAAGTAATATATATCACATGAGCATGTATAAAATATATATACATTATATGTAACATACATTTAAATGTATATACATATGTATATTAAATATATTTTATGTGTGTTTGTGTATGTATTTAATATGTACTACATATCTTAAACATGTATACATATTTATGTATTTGTGTACATAAACAAGGTTTGAAACAATGTTCAATGTGAATGATAGTAATTAGTGGTGAACTGACTTTTTTAAGACTCTATTTTGAGCTCTGTATTGCTTGAGTTTGTTGATTTGAAGCATACTGCATTTTTGGTAAACAAATAGTTATTAGTTACTATGAAGAAGGTGAGTGGCAGGAAGTCAACTGAACAGGCGGAAGAGCATTTCCGGAACTGGGAATTCTCATGGGAATAGTCTGAAGTGGGAGGGGCTTGGTGTGAAACAAACGAACAAGGAAAAAAACACACACAAAAAAACCCAACAGTGGAACATGAGGGAGTGTTCAGAGATGAGGGGAGGGCAGAGAGAGATCCTAATTAGATAGGACCTTGTAGGCTACCTGAAGCATTTAGGACTTCATCCAAGCTTGAAGCAGGGAAATGTCCTATCATGAGAAGATCACTGTGTTTAAAGTCTAGAGAGGTGACTGCTGTTTTTTTTAAAGGTATAGTCATAGGAAAATTATCAGTTTTGGTAAACCTGAGAGAACAACAATCCAGAATATATTGGGGTTTCCACTAAAATGAGGTGTGTTCTTCAGTCCCAGTGGATGCCACTCGGCAGTCAGTATTTTCGCCCAGGCTGGTATCTGTGCCTTTGAAGGGGAGTCTCGCCATTGCTTTGGGTCCTGTCACCCTCAGAAGATGATATAGCTGTAATCACACATATATATTCCCGTACAACATGGAGATCAAGCTTTGATCAGTTACGAAAGGAGAGTTCCTCATTTAAGATAGGCAGACAGACAGAGAGAGAGAGAGAGAGAGAAAGGCGGGGGTGGGGAAAGAGGTAGAGAGGGAAGTGGAGCATGGGGAAGGAGGCAAAGAGGGAGGTGAATAGTGGCCTGGGGAGGGAGGCAGAAAGTGGGAGGTGACGGGGTACACAGAGGCAGAGCGAGAGGGAGGGAGGCAGAGAGGGAAAGAGTGAGGGAGGAAGCAGAGATAAAGGGGGAGAGGCAAAGTGAGGTGGAGTGGGAGGAAGAGAGACAAACAGAGGGAAAGAGTGAGGGAGGAGGCAGAGAAAGGGGGAGAGGCAGAGAGAGAGAGGTGGAGTGAGGGGAGAGAGACACACAGAGGGAAAGAATGGGGAGGAGACAACGGGGGAGAGGTAGAGAGGTGAAGTGAGGGGAAGAGAGACACACAGAAGGAGAGAGAAGAGGGAGGGAGAGGAGGGGAAGAAAGAAATGGAGAGACAAAGAATTGCAGAACCAAGCACAGCTGAATGGAGTTCATACGAAACTGAAAGCAGACAAGAATAGAGAGGGAAAGAAGAGAGGAAAGGAGGGTGGAAGAAGAAATAAAATGAAGCAAGAAGGGTCAACAGCAGCAGACCTGGGTGAATTCCTCCAGGCCCCAGCCTTGCTGTAATTATTTAGCTCAGTGAGTTTAGGCACCAGCGCCAGCCCCCCGAGGGCTCGTCTGAGACCCTTCACTGTGACCAATTAGTTTCACTGCATCCCCTGATCTGCCTCGGTCATTTTTCATCACCTCGGGTCGTGGGCTTCAGGTTTTCACACCTCAGGTTATTTTTCTATGAAATGGGAGCAGTGATATATTTTGACCTCATGGGACTGCTTTTTAAAAATGTGCATAATTTACTTGAAGCAAGAATGACAATATTTAAAAAAGAATTCTCAATTCAGAGTGAATTTTTTTGCCTTTTCTAATTTGTCAATAAACAAAAATTAACTAAGGCTCCACTTTTGTGTTCAAAAAAGCCCAGTTCCAAGTTCAAAGCTGTGGAGGAGACAAAGTAGATATTGAAAAGCATCCCTTTTCATCAAAATTCACAACTTCTCGTCTTCAAATGACAATGTTAAGAAAATAAAGAGGCAAGCCACAGATTGGAGAATCATAATACATATATCCTTTTTTTGTTTGTTTGTTTTTGTTGTTGTTGTTGAAAAAGAGTCTCACTGTGTTGCCCAGGCTGGAGTGCAGTGGCACAATCTTGACTCACTGCAACCTCCATCTCCCAGGTTCAAGAGATTCTCTTGCTTCAGCCCCTTGAGTAGCTGGGACTACAGGCACGAGCCATAGAGCCCAGCTAATTTTTTTTCCTTTTTTTTTTTTTTTTTTTTTGTATTTTTAGTAGAGACAGGGTTTCACGATGTTGGCCATGTTGGTCTCAAACTCCTGACTTCAAGTGGTCCGCCAGCCTCGGCCTCCCAAACTGCTGGGATTACAGGTGTGAGCCACCACACCCAGCCTATAATACATATATCCAGCAAAGGACTACATCTAAAAAATAAAAAGAATTATTGCAATTCAACGATAAGACAACCTGATTTTTTTTAATGAGAAATGATATGAATCAATATTCACATGCCTGAGCACATGGAAAGAAGCTTAACATCATTAGTCATTACCCACAACTGCATCCTTCTACAGACCCACTACAATGGCCGAAAGTGAAAAGATTGCCAACAGCAAGTGTTAGCAAGTGTAAGGAACAAGTTGAAGTCTCATACACTGCTCATGAGGATATAAAATTGTTCAACCCCTCTTGAAAACAGTTTGATAGTTTCTTATAAAATCATATTATCATGTGCCATACAACAGGGCTCCCCAACTCTCAGGTGGTGGACTGGTACCGGTCCCTGGCCTATTAGGAACCAGGCGGCACAGCAAGAGGTGAGTTGGGAGCTAGCATTACTGCTTGAGCTCCACCCTCCGTCAGATCAGCAGGGACATTCGATTTTTTTTTTTCTTTCTTTCTTTCTTTCTTTCTTTTTTTTTTTTTTTGAGATGGGAGTTTTTTGCTCTCGTCGCCCAGGCTGGAGTGCAGTGATGTGATCTTGGCTCACTGCAACCTCTGCCTCCCAGGTTCAAGCGATTCTCCTGCCTCAGCCTCCCGAGTAGCTGGGATTACAGGTGCATGCCACCGCACCTGGCTAACTTTTTTGTATTTTTAGCAGAGATGGGGTTTCACCATGTTGGTCAGACTGGCCTTGAACTCCTGACCTCAGATGATCCACCCACTTTGGAGTGGAACCCTATTGTGAACTGTGCATGCCCAGGATCTAGGTTGTATGCTCTGTATGAGACTCTAACGCCTGATGATCTGAGGTAGAACAGTTTCATCCCAGAAACATCCCACGCCACCCACAGTCTGTGGAAAAAGTGTCTTCCACAAAATGAATCCCTGGTACAAAAAAGATTGGGGACTGCCGCCCTACAATACTCTTCCTAGATGCTTACCCAAGAGAAATAAATATGTCCACAACAAAGGTTTATTTATGAATAGATAAAGCAGCTTCACTGATAATGGCCCCAAACTGGAAACAAAAATGGCTGTCATCAATTGAATGTCTACACATGTTACACTATGTTCTCACAAGCCGAAAAAAGAAAATGAACGGCTGATACAGGAAACGTGGGTGAATCTCAGAAGCATTGTGCTGAGTAAAGGAAGCAGACACAAAATTCTACACTCTTTAAGATTGATTGATATAAAACTCCAGAAAAGAGAAATCTAATCCAATTCATAGTGATATAAAATACGTTAGCATTTGCCTAGGGCTGAGGGGTAGAGGGTGTTGCCTGGGAAGGACCAAAAAGGAACTTTTGGGGTGATAAAATGTACCTTGATTGTGGTAATGGTTACACAGGTGTGCACATTTGTCAAAACTTACGGAAATGTATACTTAAATTGGGTGTATTATTTTATTGTATATAAAGTGTACCTCAATAAAACTGATTTAATTTTCTAAAAAAAATAAAAGCTTACATCAAGGGGTAGCAAGACTAAGAATCATTGCATCCTTAGGGCATTTTATTCCAAATTATATCAATTTGAGGAGGTGGAGAATTTTCTAGTAGGGGATCTTAAAGTCTGTTCTAATATTAACATACTTTCTATATTAATGTTACTATCAATCATATCTCAATCTATAAAGTGACAAAGATGCTAAGTAAATCAAGCTGCATACAAAGTCCCTCTAGTGACATCTTGACTATCCTTTATAATGTCATCTGCCTTCAAACAAATCAGATTTTGTCCTAAGAGGTACTATTCATAATATTGGTGCCATCGGTTTTACATTTATTGTGTGTACTGGCTAATAGCAAGGTTTTTTTAAGCTTAAGAGGCTCAAGTGACATTTGAAAAATATCTGAGATGAAGAATGTAGTAGATGAATAATTTCCTTAATCAGTGTAATTGCCAAGAAATTGATTATCACAGTTTATAACTGGTTCGTAGGAATATTTTTGAAGGCCTTGGACTACTGTCAAATTAAATGTGTTACCAATGATCATTTATATTATAAAAAAGAAGAGAATAATCAAAAGCTACTTTTTCATATCCCTTCTGCTCAAATTCCTTCCAATTACTGTCACTCATTCTTTTGTGGAATTTATTGCCATTACCTTTTCATGGCACACTTGAGCTCTGATGTACCCATAAGAGCAAGAATTGTTGCACAAATGCAAAATGCTCTGATTATAGCAGAATAACGTAGACTTTGCTTACGCAAGAATGACAACATTTCCTTGCTGCCTTAATCTTTGCAAAATATTCCTTGTCTGGTTCATCCTAGATGTGCAAGGCTTATAATTCTGTCAACTAACACCTGTGGAAAGGTCTCCTTTGGTTGTTTATTTCTTGTTTTTTGTTTTGTTTTGTTTTTGAGATGGAGTCTCACTCTACGGCCCAGGTTGTGGAGCAGTGGTGCAATCTCAGCTCACTGAAACCTCTGCCTCCCAGCAATTCTCTGACTCAGCCTCCTGAGTAGCTGGGATTACAGGCACCTGCCACCATGCCCGGCTAATTTTTATATTTTGAGTAGAGACGGGGTTTCACCATGTTGGCCAGGCTGGTCTTGAACTCCTGACCTTGTGATCCACCCAGCTCGGCCTCCCAAAGTGCTGGGATTACAGGCGTGATCCACCATGCCTGGCCTCCTTTGCTCTTAAGGTAAATCTAGTTGCAGGGGAATCTAGGCATCTCACTTTCCACTTTGTTTTTATTTGTCATTATTAGGGAAACTAAATGATAAGGATGATTTAAAAGTCTTCTAGAGTTACCAATGCCAATTGCCTGACTGATGTGGACAGTGGGATTTTTTGGTCTGACATCTACCTTCTGGCATCTCATTTTGGATCATCTTCAGTAATAGGTTTCA
This sequence comes from Homo sapiens, assembly GCF_000001405.40. Taxonomy (NCBI): domain Eukaryota; kingdom Metazoa; phylum Chordata; class Mammalia; order Primates; family Hominidae; genus Homo; species Homo sapiens. The sequence goes on from NC_000010.11 coordinate 16,570,746, forward strand.
TTCTTGCTTGAGCCATACCCGTTGCACCCTTAGAAGGAAACCACCCAACAAGCGTCTATTGCATGCTAGGCACTGTAGAACGAGTTTTAATTCTCCAAACCTCCCTACAAGGTAGCAATTATTGTTGTCATTTCCATTTTTGCAGAAAAGAAAACTGAAACTAAGAGAGGTCACGTCATTTCCCCAAGGACACACAGCTAATGATTAAAAGAGGTAGGAGTCAAATGTAATCTGTCTGACTTCACAGTCACCAAGGTATACTACTTTTCTTATTGCAAACCTTGGTGCCTACTTATGCAGACATCAAAGACAGTCCAACTCTGTTCAATGGAAGAGAGATTTTGCACAGAGAATAAGGATAGACTCAACCCAAAACTAAAAGTCAATCTGGTAGAGAGTAGAAAGATAGTTACCAGAGGCTGGGAAGGGTAGCATGGGGTAGGGAGAAGTGGGGATGGTTAACAGCTACAAATAAACCCTGAAGTAATTAATAATACCTAGTATTTGATAGCACAGCAGGGAGACTATAGTCAAAATAATTTAATTGTGCATTTAAAAATAACTAAGAGTGTAATTGGATTATTTATAACACAAAGGATAAATGTTTGTGGGGATGGGAACCCCATCTTCCATGGTGTGATTATTAAACATTGCATGCCTGGATCAAAAGATCTCATGTACCCCATAAATATATACACCTATGTACTCACCATTTTTTTAAAAAGTCAACTTGGTATATAATTTTGACCTTATACTGCAAGCAAATTAAAATAAGAATAGTAGTTACACATGTGAATCCTTTACTAAAACTCTACTAATTTTCAACAAGTTTGATCCAAATAAATTCATTTTTAAGAGCTAATCAGAAAATATTTGGAGGGCAGATAGATAGTATCTGTATCTATTAAATGTGTAGATTTACACATTTACACAGTAGATTACAGACCACTAGGCACCTGTAATCCCAGCTGCTCAGGAGGCTGAGGCAGGAGAATCGCTTGAACCCAGGAGGCGGTGGTTTTAGTGAAGCGAGATCGCACCACTGCACTCCAGCCTGGGTGACACAGCGAGACTCTGTCTCCAAAAAAAAAAACAAAAAAACAAAAAAACCACTAGGCAATTGGAGATGAAGACCAGAGTTTTAAGATAATCATTCCACATTAATTCCTATTAATTACAAAATTTAGATTGTACATTTTTGATTCAGTATTTCCACTTCTCAAATCTGTCTTACAGTAAAACTTGCTCAAGTATTGAAATACATGTGTACAGAAACATTCTCGGCAAAAGCGATTGTCAGAGCAAAAACAAAGAATCCAACAAGCCATAATTGGAGATTGGTTAAGAATCTTTTGCTACATTTATTCAATGGTATTACAATGTAAATTTAAAAGAAAGAGATAGAGTTATACCATGTAGGAAGCTATCCAAAATATATTATGTAGAAATGTATATGATGCATAACAATATGTATGCTATTTTTGTAAAAATAAAAAGATATATTTGCATATGCATAGAAAAACCAGGAAAGATACAGTTTAATTATTAACAGGGGTTATCTGTATGAAAATATTGATGAGATAAATAAAAGGAGGGAGGATAATATTTTATTTGTTATCTTAAGTACTCTCAGATGTCTGCAATAAAAATGTGTGTGTGTGTGTTTTAAATAAAAGCAAAGTAGGCCAGGCACAGGGGTTCATGCCTATATTACCAGCGCTGTGGAAAGCTGAGGCAGGTGGATCACTTTGAGCTCACGAGTTCAAGGCCAGCATGGGCAACATGGCAAAACCCCATCTCTAATAAAAGTACCAAAAAAAAAAATTAGGTGTGATGGCACACACCTGTGGTCCCAGCTGCTCAGGAGGCTGAAGTGGGAGGATGGCTTGAGCCCGGGAGGCAGAGGCTACAGTGAGCTGTGATCATGCTGCTGCACTCCAGCCTGGGTGACAGAATGAGACTCTGTCTCAAAAAAGTAATAGTAATAAATAAAAGCAAAGTAGGCCAGGTGAGGTGGCTTACGCCTGTAATCCTAGCACTTTGGGAGGCCGAGGCAGGCAGATCACTTGCTGCCAGGGTTCGAGACCAGCCTGGCCAACATGGTGAAACCCTATCTCTACTAAAAATAAGAAAATTAGCTGGGCTTGGTGGCATGTGCCTGTAATTCCAGCTCTTCAGGAGGCTGAGGCAGGAGAATCACTTGAACCCGGGAGGTAGAGGTTGCAGTGAGCTGAGATTGTGCCACAGCACTTCAGCCTGGGCAACAGAGTGAGACTCCATCTCTAAATAAATAAATAAATAAATGTAAAGTATTTGAATGTATAGTGCTCTTTACTTTTTACAGTATATTCAGGTATATGTAGTCATTGTTTAATTTTCATTCTATGTTTTTTATTTCAAAAGCTGTAAGGGTATAAGTGGTTTTTGGTTCCATGATGAATTGTAGAGTGGTGAAGTCTGAGATTTTAGTGTACCCGTCACTCAAGTCATATACGTTGTACCCAATATGTAGATTTTTTATCCTTCCTACTCCTCCTACCCTCCCTGTATACTCATTTTTAAAAACTGAATGAATAAATCAAATTATTAACAGTGATTATCCCTGGACAGTGAGACCAAGATTTATTTTTAATTTTGTGCTGTATGTTTTATATTTAAAAGTTTTCCCTCATGAATGTGGATTGATTTTAGTCATCATAAACTGTATGAGTCCCTGGGGAGAAACATTCTCCTTTCTGGAACTTGGCTCTATCAACATCCCAAATAGACTGAGAGAGTAGGATGATCCTTTACTTTTGTTGGGCAAAACAACATATTTACAACTTAAAATACTTGGTTCTACCAAACAAACAGAGTGTTTTGGTTTTCTGAACATACGTAGGCATGTTCTTGTGTCCCGAATGTCTTGGAAATATCAGTTCCCAAGGGCTGTATCAGTTGTCCCGTAACAGTTGTTAAGCTCTTGACTGCAAGTAACAGAAGTTCCAAAAGAATGTGGCTTAAATGATAATACTATCTCATATTAGAAAAACATCTCAAGATGGTTCTAGAGTTGGTTAATTCAGTGACTCAGTGTCATCATGAGAGACCCAGAATTTGTGTGTCTTTCAACCCTGATTTTCTTGGGAATATACTAAAACCAATCCATTAACAAGGACTAATCCACATGAGTGAATAGCAGAAAATACGGTTACATAGGAGAATTAGGACAGGACTGGAAATACAAATGTATTTAGATATAAAAAGAAATAGGTCACTGTCCTGATGAGTGTGTGTAAGGGAGTTGGCTTCCCTGCACTGTAAGGATTGATTTCATGGGGGACAGATTGGATTCAGGGAAACAAATTGGGAAGATATAACAGTGTCCTTGGCAGCTAGGGGACTGAATTAGGTGACGATAAGGGGAACAGAAGGGAGTGGTAATAGATTAGATGAATTTTATAGGGAACATGGACAGAACCTGGCTAGATATGGAGGGTGAAAGATAGGAATAATTAGAAGATAAAGTTTTTGATCTTGGTGGCCTCAAGGATGGGAATAAAAGTGACAAGATTTGGGGGAAAAAAAAGCCAATTTTTGTTCACAGGTGATCGTGGGTTTTTTCATAACCATGTTGAAATAGAGGTAGCAATGAAACATTCCAATAGAAATGACCACTAGGCACCTGTAATCCCAGCTGCTCAGGAGGCTGAGGCAGGAGAATCGTTTGAACCCAGGAGGCGGTGGGTTTAGTGAGGCGAGATTGCACCACTGCACTCCAGCCTGGGTGACACAGCGAGACTCTTGTCTCCAAAAAAAAAAAAAAAAAAAAAAAAAAAAGCCACTAGGCAATTGGAGATGAAGACCAGAGTTTTAAGATAATCATTCCACATTTACCAGTCCCAAATGTGGAGATACGACTTCAGAACAGTGTGACTACTTTCTCCACAACTACAACTTGCACAAAGTACAAAGGTCATAAACTCACAAACTTTAAAAAAAAATCTATGTGGTTCAGTCCACAGGTACTACATGTTTCCAATCCTATTAATTTCTCATTTAGCCATTCCCTCCTGAAGAGGATATAGGATATGGGCTGAGAACAGAAGATTATTTCTCTGCAGAGTTCATTTTATGTTTTCAGATACCATCATCATCCAGGAAGATTTATTTATTGACAAATTAAAGTTGAGCTATATCGGGTGTTGCACAGAGATAACAGCACAGATATGGTCCCTGGCTTTGAGACTTTTACTTATACAAATGAGTAAAGTATTCACAGGCAGAAAAAACAAAATTCTAAACAATGGACAAGTAGGAAGTATGGACATCGTGTACAGGTTGAAAGTATTGCAGAGGAGAAGGAAGAGAGAATATTAGAGAATTATAGGGAACATTCCATAATTATACAAAATGGTAAAAGAGGCAGTGCAGTGTGAAAGTGAGGTGGTCACGGGACTCCTGCCTTATCATTGAATCACTGAACTACTGCATGGTCTTCAGCAAATCAGTTAAATTCATGGAGTTTTCATCTCTCCATCTGTCAAACACCACTGACATCTGTTTGAGGAGAAATTTACCTGTTTGCTTATTCAACAAATGCTGATTGAATTTTACCTCCATATGATGGTCCCTTTGGTTGGATCTAGAAATGTAAAAATTAGCATAACATAACCCTTACCTTTGGAGAAAGTTAGTAAAAAAACATTTACTAGGAGGGAAGTGTATCAGTTGGTATGCTTTTGACTGCAAGTAACAGAAGTTCCAACAAAATGTGGCTTAAATAATATCTTGCATTTAAAAAGTCTCAAGATATAGAGGGTTCTAGAGTTGGTTGATTCAGTGGCCCAATGTCATCATGAGAGACTCAGATTTTTCTGTCTTTCAACCCTGATGGGTTCAGTATGTTGGCTTCAGTCTTCACACTTGTGGATAAAAATGGCTGCCACAGCTCCAGCCATCAAATCCTGATGCAACTGAAGATTGAAACTGTGAGGATTAACAGAAGTGATGCATATACAATACATAGGCCTTGGCACCTAGAAATTGCTCAATGGATTTTAGCTTTCATTTACTTTTGATATTATGTGATACTATCTTGCTCTAAAGAAATTTCTTATATTGGATTGCTAGAGCTTTCATAACAAAGTGTTATGGTTTGGCTGTGTCCCCACCCAAATCTCATCTTGAATTGTAGTTCCCATAATCCCTACATGTTGTGGGAGGGGCCAGGTGGACATAATTTAATCATGAAGGCTGTTACTCATGCTGTTCCCATGAGATCAGATGGTTTTACAAGAGCCTATTCCCCGTTTGCTCAGCACTTCTTGCTGCCACCATGTGAAGAAGGATGTGTTTGCTTTTGTTTTTGCCATGATTGTAAGTTTCCTGAGGCCTCTCCAGCCCTGCAGAACTGAGTCAATTAAACCTCTTTCCTTTGTAAATTACTCAATCTCGGGTATGTCATTATTAGCAGAGTGAGAACAGATTAATACAAAAGTCTCAAAAACTGAGTGGCTTAAGCAACATAAATTTATTGTCTCATAGTTCTGGAGGCTATAAGTCTGATATCAAGATGATAGCAGGGTTGGTTCCTTCTGAGGGCTGAGAAGGAGGGATCCATCTTAACCTCTCTCTTTGGCTTTAGATTCATCTTCTCCCTGTGTCTCTTCCCATTATCTTCTCTCTTTGTATGTCTCTCTTTTTAATAACATTAAAAGAAATAAGATCATCAGTCATATTGGATCAGTTGCTCACCCTATTCCAGTATGACTTTATCTTAACTAAATATATCTGCAGTGACTCTGTTTCCAAATAAGGTCACACTATAAGGTTCCATTGCTGAGGACTTCAACATACGAATTTTTGGGGAGGTATAATTCACCCTAAGAGCACTACTCATTTATGTGCTTTAGTTCACGTGTCTGTTTACTAAAGACTTTAAAAAGATTTTAAAATAATCTTTCCAGAGAGAGAAAATAAGTGAGGAAATAAGAACTTGGCCAAGTGTTCAGTGTACTGGGTCTCCCTTCTATGTAGCACATTCCCTTTCTCTGACTACGGGTGGATTTCTGATCCACTTGGAGGTGAAAGCTGTTGTGGAAATTGTGCATATACTGAGCTATTTCTAAAAATAATTATGTTATCTTCCTTGGTTTTGTTTCTGTCACTCTTTTCCCTTCCAACTTCATTTCACTTATTTTCTTGCTCTTTTTAAGAAAAAGGGGGAAAATCATATTGTATTCATTTGCATTTCTTCCCACAATGGGGGAAAATACCAATGGCCAGGAGCTTGTGAGTGCATTTTTGTCTTGTTGCCATCCTTTTCTTCCATGAGAGACTGTGGCTGGAAGTTGGCCATGGTTTATGTAGTCCACCAACCAAAGCAAAACATAATACCTTTTACCAACTTTCAAGCTCTTCTGGATGCAGGAAGGGTTTGTAAGCTATGAAAAGTTGAGTGAGCACTCTCAGCTGCTTTTGGGAAACACAAAGATCATCTGGATGGTCATTTAGGACCACAGTCACTCTGCCCCTGGCCTGGAGGGAAGCTGGATGGGAGGGAGCCCTGAGTTTCATTGCTGGAAAGAGATGGAAACTGAGAGGAGACCTAACAAAGACTCCTGCTCATCAGGTGGATAGCAGCCTTCTTCATTATGCCAAGCTGAGAAGCTGTCTGGTCTTGGCTTCTTCATTTATACTAGCTCCTGGCTACCTTCCTCTTCTTTTGTCTTTCTCATCCACCAGACCTCTTACTGTTTGTGAACTGAAGCTTTTTAATTTTGTAACTCAGAGCCCTCCAACCCAGAGCCATTTCCACCAGTGCACACTGGCACTTTACACCCACTCAGTGGAATGGAGAACTTGGCATCTACCCTGCTGTTTGATAAAAATGATCAGGTTGGTTCACGGTGATTACTCACAGATGCTTGATTCACGGTGATATGAACAATTTTTAATTTCAAACTAAGCTGTCTGAAAACCAAATTAAAGACTTTTCGTTTCTTTTTTAATGCTTACCATTAATATTTTTAAAGGAGAAAATGAAAAAAAAAAGTTTTAACATCTCCAACAGTGTGTTCCATGAGTTTCCTGGTGGGAGGTGATAAAGGCATTTTTTTAACTGACTAAAAATGGTTAGCCACAACACCATGAAAATATCTCAGAATGTTTTAAAATGAAAAAATTCTGTGACATGGAAATAGCAATTTAGAGGGGGCCCAGGGGTTGATGGAAGCTTTGAATGGCTGATTTGATTCTTCTCTAAACCTCATGATTTCCACACCAATTTCCATCTACTTCAAAAAAGCAAGCCTCCTGAGATACAGAGCTGGGGGGCGGGGGGAAATAGGGGGACCATTTGTTATTTTGGACACAGATGATTCCAACTGAGGGAGGACATTAAAATGTTTCAAGAAACACAGCCTTTGAAATACAGCAAGAGGTTCACATCTATAACAGACTCTTCCGTAATGTCAACCCCCTCCACCCAGTGCAGAACCCTTTTGTGACTCTGCAAGCTTCAGAGCTCACTCCCTAGGCACCTTTGAAGCAGTGGAATTTAGCTAGAGCCTGTACCGATGCTTAACAACTCTTGCGCCACACACAGATCTAAGCATAAAATTATGGTAGACAACATCATTCTCAAAACTTCTGCCACGTTAAACTTTTCTGTTGAAAAGTGGGCAGAAGTCCGCTCCTTGGCTGTGTATTTCCAGAGGGAGGAGAAATGAACACCCTTAAGAGGAGGATTTCAGTTGATCTGACTGGAAAACAAACAAAAAACTTTAACCAAATTTACGTGTCCAAAATAGAGGCATGATGAAGGCAATTTAGGATGATTTGCCTTTACTTCAAACAATACTGAATGAAAATGTGACTCCCATCATTCTGGTTGTTAATTTTTTATTGTCATGCAGATTTTCCACGACAATTTTTCTGCTACCCTCACCTGCCTCCTCCATGTTATTCTGGCAGTTCTAGGCTTTTGATGCCCATGAACAAGGCTACTCAAGGGCTATCCCTCGAACATCTTTCTAGATAATTAGTTATTCTGGGGATTCCTTATTTTTTATGGATTCAAGCTCCCTCTTAGGGAGAGCTGCTTGGGGTTTGTATCCTTGTTTTAGAGGAGATCGAGGGTTTATAGGGGTGAGAGAGGGAGTAGGGGAGGAAAAGATGTAACAGGATGCTGCTGTTCATTTCATACAGGTTTAATGTTTGTCCCACCCTGGGTGAATGAAAAAGATCAATGGGTGGGGATATGTAAACATACAACTTAGCAGTGCCATATTATGCTGGGGTTATTTGAATTTAACTGAAACAATGTGTAAGGAGCCAGAACATATCAGAGACCAGGTCAAACCATAGTTAGTTCTCTTCCTTTATCTTCTGGCTCTGTTAGCTTGGGAGAGAAATCTAGTTCCAAATGAACAGAATGGTCTACAAGAGACCTGCTGGAAATATATGTGTCTGCTAAGGGAATTGAGATGGATTTTTAACTCAAATATAGTTCTCTGCTTCAGGCAGTCTTCAAAAGGTATAGGAAACTACCAGCTCTGTTTCACTAGCCCTTCGGTTTACTTGATCTTTCTCATTGGTTTTGAACAAAATACGCTCATCTTTGCATGAGCTCTTATTGTGCCTTTCTGAGATAATTAATGAAAGGGGGTTGTTTTTGGTCTTTTGGGTTGTATTTTCACCCCAACCTCAATCAGTCTCTGACGTTATCCAAATAAACATCTTGTTATATCATGTTCCAGGTATCAGGGCTTTTACCATGTGGGCTTTGAATCAGCTTGACTTGACCCTGGTGGTTTGCCTTCAAATCCAACAGTGGGGCTGAGTGTTTTGCACTGTGGCACAATAACCATTATGCCACGTTCTTAGGCTACTGACACTTTGCTGTTGGTAACTCCATGCAGTCTCCAAATAGCAAATCTCCTAAATCATTCAACTCCTCATAAAAGAGACAAAAGCTACAGATACTGTCATTCCCACTTTTCAGGAGAGTGAGGTATATATATACACACACATATATATATGTATGTGTGTATATATATGTGTGTGTATATATGTATTACATATATACATATATATTACATAGATAGATTGATTGATTCATGCGTGCATAGGGTCCCAGCTACTTGGGAGGCTGAGGCGGTAGAATCGCTTGAGGCTGGAATGTCAAGGATGTTGGGAGCCATGATCATGCCACTGCACTCCAGCGTGGGTGACAGAATGAGACCCTGTCTCAAAAAGAAAACAATAAAAAAAAGAAATTCTGAGGATAGACCACATTAGCATACATTTCGTTGGTTTGTTTCTATTCTTCTTTAGTATTTTACTGAGATGATTCTTTAATGATGTCTGGATGTCCAGATTCTTGTCTTTTATTTTGCCACTAATCTGCTGTGAGACTCTTGAATTTCTGGGATCACTCAACTTGTCTCTGTGCTTCTATTTTCTCATCAGCCAAATAAAGGGACTGAACAAGATGTTCTCTGGAAGCCTTGCCTGAGCACATCCTTCAAGGTTCTCTGACATCCAGTTTTCAGACTATGATCTTTGTATAAGAGGAGGAGGGGGATGTGGATAAGATGATGACAGTATTTTTTTTTTCCCAAAACTTTGATTAAACGAAATTGGCTGAGTAGGAAACTTATATCTATCTACTCTTGTCTCCATATATAATGGCATAAGTTGCTAACTATATGCAAGGAAGCATTCTTGGGAAAATGTGAAAAATGTAAATGTGGTAAGAACTCTTTTATAATGTGTACATATGATCTCTATAAAGTTGGTGATCTCTGTTCTCTTGCAGTCAGAAATCATATAGAAAAAGAAATCAATGAGAAGCTAGGAGGGCTGTATTAGTGCCCTTGAAGGGTAAAATGGCAAAATGAAAGTTGTCTTATAACAGGAATGTCATTATCTGATTCAGTGTGACGAGTTGGTGCCTGGACTCAGATTAGTGTCATTGTAGAGCTCTGATTTTATGACAGTTTGTTAAATGCTGGTGCAGTGGTGAACTCAATTTGTGCTAATTGGTCTTCATGCTGAAAAGAAGTTTATTACCCTTTTAAAAAGTTAGCAGTCAAAACCAATAACCAGATTAAATGCCATCTTCCCAGTTCTTGGTTTTCTACAAGAATGGAAATGGGTATGGATATACCATTGCTGTGGAATAGAATGGCTGCCATTTTGCTATTTAAGGCCAGTAAAATAAATGCTGGTCTTGTTCACCTTGGTCTCCATGCAGAAAATGGCCTGACACAGCTCATCACCCAGGGGCTACTGTGCCAAGACAGTCTGATACATCTATTCTCCACCTCTCCCAAGTGGTCTTTTAAATAACTACATGGGATCATATGGATTCTCTGCTTCAAATCCTTCAGTGGGTTCCCTTTGGGTTTGTAAGCAAATCCAACCTCCATGAGATGGCTGGAATAGCCCTGTGTCTGTTCACTGTTGTGTCCCTGGTGCTGGGAACAGCATGAGGCATGGAGTAGGTGCCCAGTGAATGCTTGTTGAATGAATAAAGATCCTGCAAGGTCTTGTCCCTGTTCTTTCCTACCTCTTCACTCTGCTCCAGCCACACTGACCTTCTTCCAGTTAGAGAAACAGACCACGCTCCTGTTCTGCTGAAGAGCTTCATCATGCCGCTAATTTCCTTCTTCTTGTCTAGTTAACTTCTGCTTTCTTTCAGATGACTCATAATTCCCTCAACAGTTTTCCATGATGCTCTGATCTTACTTGGTCCCTTTTATTATGCATTCTTACAGTACCAAATTCTTCTCTTTCAGATAATTATCCAATTCTGATTGACACAATTATTTTGTGAATATTAGTTTATAGTTTCTTCCATTACGCTAGGCTATTAAGTTCCATAAGGGCAGAGATTGTGTCTGCTTCATTTAAAACTATATGCTCAAGACATGCAATCAACCTAAATGTTCATCAGTGGAAGACTGGATAAATGAAACCTGGTACATATACACCATCGAATTCTATGCAGCCATGAAAAAGAACAAGAACATGTCCTTTGCACAAACATGGATGGAGCTGGAGGCCATTATTCTTAGCAAACTAATGCAGGAACAGAAAACCAAAGACAGCATGTTCTCACTCACAAGTGGGAGCTAAATGATGAGAACACATGGACACAGACACTGGGGCCTGCCTGAAGTGGGAGGAGGGAGAGGATCAGAAAAAGTAACTAATGGGTACTAGGCTTAGTACCTGGGTGATGAAATAATCTGTACCACAAACCCCTGTGACAAGAGTTTACCTATATAAAAAACCTGCACATTTACCCCTGAACCTAAAAGTTAAAAAAAAAAAAGTGTATGGATGTTTCATAATCAGTGCAGTATAGACATGTAATAAGCACCCAATAAGTATTTATTTTAAAAATATTTTAGAGGGCTGGGTGTGGTCACTCACGCCTGTAATCCCAGCACTTTGGGAGGCAGAGGTGGGTTGATCACGAGGTCAGGAGTTCGAGGCCAGGTTGGCCAACATGGTGAAACCCTGTCTCTATTAAAAATATCAAAAATGAGCTGGGCATGGTGGCACGCCCCTGTAATCCCAGCTACTGGGGAGGCTGAGGCAGGAGAATCGCTTGAACCCAGGAAGTGGAGGTTGCAGTGAGCCAAGATCATGCCATTGCACTCCAACCTGGGCAACAGAGCAAGACTCTGTTTCGAAAACTGTGTGTGTGTGTGTGTGTGTGTGTGTGTGTGTGTGTGTGTGTGTATTATATATATATTTCAGAGAAACATTGCCATATTAAAAACTTAATTCTAAATATTTCATATATATACACATTGATGATTATCACAATGATGATTGTCACACTGATGCTTTTTTAAAAAGGGTATACAGTAAAAATAAGTCTTCATTTTCTATCCCCAGATGCAACCTCTGTTACATTGCTTAGATCTCATTCTTGGGATAATCTGTGAATATATAAGCATATATTTCACATATGTTCAACAAATAGTCTTTTGATGAATTAATTCATGAATCACTCTTATTACAAACCCATTGTGACAGTTTTTCATGGGGGCAATTAGATGAGAGCTTCTCATTCTGTTCATAAAACTGTGTTGAGTAAGCCTTACCTAGGCAACAACAACAAAAAACCCATAATTTAGCCAGCTCAGGAAAAATAAAACACAAAAACAAACCTTTTCATATTGAATCTTTTTGTCTTTGTTTATAGCTCTGGATCAGAAAATCAACAATGATTATAGAATGTCACCCAACTCCTACAAAGAAAGGAGAATTCTTTAATGAGGTAACCAAAAAGATTTTCTTTCCACAGAAGAGATAATTCTGTTCTTAGACTTTATTTTAGCAACAGAAGCTACCTGGTGAAATAGGAACCTTTCAGGTTTGGTTTTGTTTTGTTTTCCCGAGACAGAGTCTCCCTCTGTTGCCCAGGTTGGAGTGCAATGGCACAATCTCGGCTCACTGCACCCTGCGCCTCTGGGGCTCAAGCGATTCTCCTGCCTCAGCCTCCCAAGCATTTGAGATTACAAGTGCCTGCCACCATGCCTGGCTGATTTTTGTATTTTTCGTAGATACATGGTTTTGCCATGTTGGCCAGGCTGATCACCAACACCTGACCTCAGGTGATCTGCCCGCCTTGGCCTTGCAAAGTCCTGGGATTACAGGAATGAGACACGGTGCCTGGCCCCATTTGGGTTCTTAAATGGGGAGCCGGAAACACAAGGCTGGGGTAGAGAATGTCCCCAAGGCACTCCGGGGGATTCACTGCCCAGGCTGATTTGCCTCATCCAAGGCAGTTGGTCACACATAGTTCTGCGCCTGCCAACAACGGAATGCAGAGCCAGACAGCCCTGGTTTGCTCTGGCTTCCCTGTTCTGAGTACAGTGGCAACCACTGCAGGCAACGTTTCATGTTGCAGCGTCTGCTCTGAGCTTCGTTCTGGGCGCCTGTGTTTGTTTACTAAGTGCACTATATCCAAGTACCACCAATGTCGTGGTGGCTTAAACTAGCAGAAATGTGTTCTCTTACATTTCTGGAGGTGAGAAGTCCAAAAATCAAGGTGTCAGGAAGACCACGATCCCTCTGAAGTCTCACGGGAAGGACCCTTCCATGCCCCTTTCAGCTTCTCCTGTTTCTGGCTGTCCTAGGCTCTCTTGGCTTATTACTGTATCCCTCCAATCTCTGCCTGTTTCATCAAGTGGTCTCTTCCCTGCATGTCCCTGTGTTGGCACACAGCCTTCTCATAAGGACACTGTCATTGGATTTAGAGCTCACCCTAATCCAGAATAACCTCATTTGAACATGGCTGACTGTATCTGCAAAGACTATTTCTAAATAAGGTCACATTCTGAGAGTTCCGGTGGACATGAATCTTTGAGACACACTCTTCAACCCAGAACAGTGTCCAAGGCAGGCAAGTGTGACCAACTCTCTGCGGGGTCTTCCCAGCCAGCAGGGACACCAGTATCTTTTACACACCTGAGGTTTAAATAACTACTTTCTCATACCATTTTTTTTTTTTTTTTTTTTTTTTTTTTTTTAGCTAGGGTCTTGCTCTGTTACCCAGGCTGGAGGGCAGTGGCATGATCATAGCTTGCTGCAGCTTAGAACTACTGGGGTCAAGAAATCCTCCAGCCCCAGCCTACCTAGTGATGTAGTTAACATCACTAACTACATCTGCAAGGACTATTTCTAAATATTTCATATTAGTGTCTTTGTAGAGCTCTGATTTTATGACAGTTTATGAAACATCGGTGCAATGGTGAACTCAATTTGTGCTAATTGCTCTTCATGGTGAAGAGCAATGTTAGAGAATACAAGCCACCACGTTGGTGGTATTTGAATATAGTGTGCCTAGGAAACAAGTAGCTAGGACTATAGGTGCTTGCCATCATGCCTGGCTAATTTTTAGGATGTTTATTTTAGACCTGGCATGGTGGCGGCTCACGCCTGTAATCCCAGTACCTTGGGGGGGGCCAAGGTGCATGGTTCACCTGAGGTCAGAGGTTCAAGACCAGCCTGGCCAACATGGCCAAACCCCGTCTCTACTAAAGATACAAAAAAATTAGCTGGGTGTGGTGGCGCATGCCTGTAATCCCAACTGCTTGGGAGGCTGAGGCAAGAGAATCATTTGAACCTGGGAGGCAGAGGTTGTAGTGAGCAGAGATCGCCCCACTGCACCCCAGCCTTCGTGACAGACCAAGACTGTGTCTCAAAAAAAAAAAAAAAAAAAAAAAAAAAGAATTTTTTTGTAGAGACAGTGTCTCCCTATGTTACCAAGACTGGTCTCAAACTCCTGGCCTCAAGAGATCCTCCCACCTTGGCCTCCAAAGTGCTGGAATTACAGGCATGAGCCATTGTGCCTGGCCTCATGTCTTTATGGCCTTTCATTCAAATCCTTCCAGTTACTGATCCTAACCGGCAACAGCAAAGCTCCACGTCACACTGGAGCTGCTAAATGGTTTGATGATCTGCATCTCAGACCCAGCCTTCCTTAATGAAAATACTGGTTTCACAGCTGCATTGTGCACGGCGAGTTAAAAAGTGGCTCTTTGTTAAAATCCTGATTGCACAATGACAAATACAGCAGCCCACACAAACAGTGAGATTGTCCACCTGGTGTGGCAGGGCTATTTTGGGTGGCGCTCTGGGGGAGTTATGAATGGACTGTGCTTCTTTCCCTGCTTTCAGCTATTAGTGAGTGGAAGCGCTTTCTTCCTAGGGCAGGAAGGAGTCAGTTTTGCTGACAACATCTGTACACTGGAAATGGCAGCATCAGAATGTGCTGGGCAGTAGATGTATACAGAAGACTGTGTCTCCAGAGACAGATAAAGTTGGTCCTTTGAATGCAGACACTGGGAGGCTTCCTGGGGTGGACGTTGGGGGACAGCACAATTCTTGACCCCAGGGAGCTGTGTGTATGTCAGCTATGTAACTGAAGTCTTGTTGATTCTAAGGAGGGTCTGACACAAACCATAAGTAACTGGAGATGAGCAATTCTAATTACAAGTCTTTTCTGATAATGCTATATTTGTATCCAACCCTGATTGCTTAATTCACTCCCAATTCCTGGGTCTGAAAACATAGAGATATTGGCTGACTCCTATATCCCATCACAGGACATGGTCTCTCCATTTATAGAGGGAGTATAAATGCTTAGGGAAAAATGTCAGTAGGGCATTAGAAATTTCCAGTGGAAACGGAACATGCATGCAATAATGTTTGAATGTCCAAGGTTTCAGGTACTCACTAGCTGTGAGACCAGGATGGATGAGATGCGGTCTCTCCTCTCTGGTTTTCCTTTTCCTTTTCCTTTTTCTTTACCTTTTTCCTTTCTTTTCCTTTCCTTTCTCCTTTCCTTTTTCCTTTCCTTGATAGAGTCTCACCATGTCACCCAGGCTGGAGTGCGGTGGCAAGTTCACAGCTCACTGCAATTCTCATCTCCAGGCTCAGGTGATTCTCCCACCTCAGCTTCCCGAGTAGCTGGGACCACAGGCCTGTGCCACCACATCTGGCTAAAAAATTTTTTTTGTAGGGACAGCGTTTCATTATGTTGCACGCTGGTCTCTAACTCCTGAGTTCAAGCGATCCTCCCACCGTGGTCTCCCAAAGTGCTAGGATTACAGATGTGAGCCACCTCACCCAGCCCTCAGTCTCTGATTGAATGACTAAAAAACAAAGTCTCCAGGTGGTCTGATGATGCTAGCCCAAACCTGCCTCAAAACGAAACCCAAAGCCACTCTCTATCTATTTCAGGAAGCGCTGCTCTTTGGGTGGGTCATATGAGGGAATCCCCTTTGGAGTAAAATAGTTCACTGATAGGACAGTGTTGGAAGTGAATTTCTGGATGAGACGGGGAAAGGGCAAAGTTATTCTCAGAAGTGAGGCTTATCCGCTTTGGTCAATCCATCACTGAACCATCAGAGAGATGCTGTCGCCTGACCAAGCATGAGGAACAGAGACAGCAGAAACCAAAGGTTTCTGTCATTTATAGAAATGGGGTAAAGCTGTCATCATGCAGTAACTTGAATGTGTTAATAAAATGAACACTTAAGGAGCTCAAAAGCAGAAACTTCCTTCATCGGAAGGAAAATTGCTGCCTTTTGGATAGGCCAAGGGAGTCTTGATTGACAGCAGAGTGTGATGTGGGATTAAGGAAAGGACATTAGCTCTACAGTCAAATGCATGTTCTTTTCCATCCTTCCTCTGCCACTTGCCAGCTGTGGGCTCTTGCGGGAAGTTCCTTAATTTCTCTGAGGTCAAATTTCCCACAAGATGAGGATATCCATTGAGTGAGAATGAAAGGAAACAAAGTGCCTGATACATGAACAGGCTGCAATCAATGAGTGCTATTATTAGTAAAAGAAAATAGATTAAGAGGGAAATTTAACAGTGGCCAATCACCAAATTCTATTGTGTACAAAATAAGCATATGGTAAGAAAGAGGTAATACACAAAATGTTTATGCAGTCTTAACAGAAACATGATGTTAGAGCCCAGGAGTCTCCCAAAGCTGTTGTTGATGGGAAGATCAATTATAAAAATAAGGACACACCATATATGGTAGGATCACATGATACTATAAATGGAGAGATACACACAGGAATGATTAATGTCTAATTTTAGGTCACAAAATGTCCAGAGAACAGAGACTTTTCACTTTACTTGCCAATTCTGCTGCTTCTAAACATCTGAATTGACTCACATTGACAAGGCCAGTTTGGATTTTGGCTTTGACATGAACCCTTCTTCTGGGTTCATACAGGTAAATTGGGGTGCCAGCCCTTTCTGGTTTTGTTACTGAAGAAATTGATGGTTGTTTGAGGAAGGCTAAATGGTCAAGTATGAAACAATTGTGTAATTATAAGGAAAACCAAACATCCAGGTAAAGGTTTGAACTCTTAACAGGGTTGCATAAATTCTCACCTGTAATAATATCCATACATTTTTTTTCCCTTAGGAGAATTCAGCTTTGATAAAGTAGCCCAGAATGATGAGGTATAAAAGGGATGTCTAGGACTTTTTCCCTTCCCTCTACCTTAATATTAGCTTTATATCATCCAAATCACAAGTATCCAATTTGTAGTCTATTCAATTAAATAATTATTGAGCCCCTATTGTATACAAGGCACCATTCTGGGTGCTGGGGATGTAACAGTTGATAGAATAATCAGCAGAAGTTTCTCTGCAAAGGGCCAGATAGTAGAAACCTTTTGCTTTGTGAGCCATAAGGTCTCTGTGTCAGCCAGTCAGCTCTGTTGTGGTCACATAAAAATAGCCACAGACTGGCTGGGCATGGTGGCTCATGCCTGTAATCCCCGCACTTTGGGAGGCTGAGGCAGATGGATCAGTTGAGGCCAGGAGTTCGAGACAAGCCTGGCTAACATGACAAAACCCTGTCTCTATTAAAAATATAAAAATTAGGCTGGGCGCAGTGGCTCAAGCCTGTAATCCTAGCACTTTGGGAGGCAGAGGTGGGCGGATCACGAGGTCAGGAGATGGAGACCATCCTGGCTAACATGGTGAAACCCCGTCTCTACTAAAAATACAAAAAATTAGCTAGGCATGGTGGCGGGTGCCTGTAGTCCTAGCTACTCGGGAGGCTGAGGCAGGAGAATGGCGTGAACCCGGGAGGCGGAGCTTGCAGTGAGCCAAACTGCACTCCAGCCTGGGAGACAGAGCAAGACTCCGTCTCAAAAAAAAAAAAAAAAAAAAAAAAAAAAAATTAGTTCGGTCTGATGGTGCACACCTGTAATCCCAGCTAGTTGGAAGGCTGAGGCATGAGAACCACTTGAATCCTGGAGGTGGAGGTTGCAGTGAGCTGAGATTGTGTCACTGCATTCTAGCCTGAGCAAGAGAGGGAGACTCCCTTTCCAAAATTAAAAAAGAAAAAAAGGAAAGAAAAAAGCAGCCACAGACCTTAAGTGAATGAGAATGGCTGTGTTCCCACAACTTTATTTACAAAAACAGGCGTGGGCCAGGTTTGGCTTCTGGGTGCCTCTGAGCTGTAGCTGGCTGACCCTTTTCCTGGAGGAACCTCTACTTCGCTGGGGGTGGAAGGCAGGTGACGGACAAAATAAATTGCAAATTTAAAGCAGGGTAATCAGGGGAGGCTCTGTTGAGAAAGTGACTGTTTAACCAGGATTTGAAGTAGATGAAGGAGTTACAGGTATACATTTGGCAGAACATTCTAGAAAAGGATCACCTGCACAAAAGTCTTGAAGGGGGAAGAACCTGGAGGAGTAGGGGGACCCTAGACCCTGGTAACCTAGGCTTTCACTCTGAGTGAAAGACACAAGGGGACTTCACTGGAAGACAGTGGGCAGAAGAGCGTCCTGATGTGATGTCAGCACATAAAAATTTGCTCTGTTGCATGGAGATCTCAGTGCAAGAGCAAAAGCAGGAGCCCCACCAGAGGATACCAGAGTGGAGCAGGCAAGAAGGCAGGGTGACCTGGGCCAGTGTGGAAGAAGATGGTGCAAAGTCTTCAGTTCATGTTATGTTTTGCAGGTAGAGACTAGAGGATTTTCTAACATAGTACTTGTGGGATATTATGACTACGAAGCTTTATTAGAAACTGAACTATTAGTGACTTAACTTTGCAATCTGAGGCAACAAACAAGTGTTGTGTGCAGAGTCTGTAGAAGGAGGTAAAAGTACAGGATAAAAAACATGGACGGGGCAACTTGTGTTTTCAGTGAATATGGACACAATGATTGGGACAACCCAGTTCTCTGCAGTCACAGGATTTTCTCTTCTACATTTAAGTTTATCAAAGTGAAGATTCACTTCTGCAGAGTGGTGTACAAGTCACTTCTATTCCAAAGGGTGAACCTGATGTGACTGGGGGCCTGTCGCTTTGTCCCACAGAGTATTTCCTAACGTGGCTTCCACAGATTATAAGGGCGGTACAAAGCTTAGAGAAGTGGTTCTGTGGCCAAATGGCCCATCCACTTTTTCTACTTGCTCCTACCTTAATTGAAAAAAAAAAAAAAAAGGCTCCTAATAAACATTATATCACCTCCAGCAAATAAAGAGAAACACTTCTCTCCTAGATCTGAGAACCATTATACAGTTTATTCTCAAATAACCTGCCTTACCTATCCCACAAGGCTCTTGCACAAACCATGTGATTATGTGTATGAAAGTATTTTGCATAACATCTCTAAGCTACCTAGCCACGTGGGCAAGGACAGTGTTTTACATAAAGGGGAGAAACCCTGTGGAAGAAGTTTCGAATGAGGAATAAAAAAATATGCACGGCTTCCCATGTGGGCTCTTAGCACTTGGAAGACCAGACTGCAAGGCATCAAAGGCGGGGTGGGGGGGCCAGCTAATTTCATCATTGGGCTAAAAAGGTTAGGTTATCTTTGTGAAAAGGCCACCTTTCAGCCGGGCGCAGTGGCTCATGCCTGTAATTTCAGCACTTTTGGAGGACGAGGCGGGCAGATGGATCACCTGAGGCCAGGAGTTCGAGACCAGCCTGGCCAACATGGTGAAACCCCGTCTCTACTAAAAATACAAAAATTAATTGGGCGTGGTGGCGGGTGCCGGAATCCCAGCTACTCGGGAGGCTGAGACAGGAGAATCGCTTGAACCCGGGAGGCGGAGGTGGCAGTAGGCTGAGATCACGCTATTGCATTTCAGCCTAGGTGACAGAGAGAGACTCCGTCTCAAAAAAAAAAAAGGCCACCTTTCAAACTTTGGATATTTTGTTTGCTGATCCAGATATCAAGTAACTAAAAACTGTAGGAAAAGACGTGAAATCCATTTTGGTAACAAAAAGAGAAAAAACCCTCCTGACATTTTATATTATGCCTTGAGCTTAAATATATATTTCCTGGATTGCATAATATACCATGACATACCAATTTGATTTTGAAAAATACATGCATTTAATATTTTCTGATTACAAAAGTATATGTGTTCATTAGAAAAAATTTAAGTACAGAATGAATAAGTAAAATTCTAGAAAGTCTTAGTTCACAATACAGAGATAATTTAACTGCCTTAAAATAATTGTGTTCACCTCTATTTAATTTTTATGCACACGTATTACAAACAAGCTTCCTTTTGACACAGCTGGGACCATCCTTATATAGTTAGTTTTAAAAATCTTGCTTTTTCTGTTTAATCAGATGTTATGATTCTCTCCCTTTGCCCTTATTGTTGAACAATTTTTTTTTCTTGGGAACGGAATCTTGCTCTGTCGCCCAGGCTGGAGTGCGGTGGCTTAATCTCAGCTCAGTGCAACCTCTGCCTCCCGGGTTCAATCAATTCTCCTGCCTCAGCCTCCTGAGCAGCTGGGACTACAGGCGCATGCTGCGACGCCCGGCTAATTTTTTGTATTTTAGTAGAGACGGGGTTTCACCGTGTTGCCCAGGCTGGTCTCAAACTCCTGAGCTCAGGCAATCTTCCCACCTTGGCCTCCCAAAGTGTTAGGATTACAGGCATGAGCCACTGTGCCTGGCCGTTGTTCAACAATTTTTAATGTCATAAAAGCCTCATGCAGACACACCGTAATTCATTGAACCCCTTTTCCACTGACAGGGATCAGGCTTTTCTCTGTTTTTCTTGTGTATGCAATGCTATAAGGACAATTCCTAAACATTGCAGTTTGTGGGGATCTCGGATAATTTCCTCAGGATACATTCCTAGAAATAAAAATTCTGGGCCCCAGTACACAATCTTAAGGTTTTGCCACCTATCGTCAAACTGCTACGGCCTTTCTGGAGCGAAATTTATATTCCCAGTAGCCATGTGAAAGAATGTTTATTTCATGTTACTCCTCTTGCACTTAATACTGCCTTAAAAAATATTTGCACATTTCTCTTTGTTACACATGGCTTCTTTTTGCTTTGATCTGTATACTTTTTAAAAATATTACCAGTGAGTCTTCGATGATTGCTTCATGTTTCTGGGAGGTATTTCGTTCCTGTGCGTTTCTGGAGTTTTCATCTTTTGAAAAAAATGACTCATAAGAGCCCTTCATATTGTTAGATTTTTACTAATGCTTTCTTGCTGGTTTAATTTTAGGTTAAGTCTTTCCTATCCACAACAGCAAAGGCCTTGTTCTCCCTCGTGCAATCTCAAAAGCTCAAAAGTCAATTAAAAAAATTCAGGCAGAGGCATACATGGCACCTATAAAAATGATATCAACTCTATCCCTAAACAGGGGATGGGACCTGGGGAAGCCACTTCCCACATTTAAATGTTCTATCAGGAATTTGTCTAGAAGCCAGAAGTTTAGACCTTGCTCTGTGGCCTCTCTGATTGAAATGCGAAGTCTGTTTCCTAAGTAACTCAGAACTTGTTGTTTGATTTTGATTTTTGACTTTTTTATATGCCCCAGTGGGTCCTGGTCTTGGGAGCTCAACTGGGAAGCCGAAAGGATACAGCAGAGATTTTATATGCCCCAGTGGGTCCTGGTCTTGGGAGCTCAACTGGGAAGCCGAAAGGACACAGCAGAGAAGGGCAGGCCCCCTCTCCCAGGCCATTTGACTCTCCCAGGCCATTTGAAAAGACGGTGCATCTTCACATACCATTTTTTTTGTGTCGGCCTTCTGGGGTTGACAGCCCTTTCAGTGAGCACAAAACCTCAGCTTGCATTTATTTTGATTTTCGTAGGTATCACTGTTGAAAAGAAGGAAAGCTGCCTATCACAGATGTTAAACAAACAATTGATTGTTTAATGACTCTGCAACTGTGGTTTCCACCCTGGGTGTGGTGTAGCGCGTGCACATTTACACAACTTCCTTGGCATCGAAGTCGCTTAGAAGAATGCTTCGATGCGAGCAGATTTTCCGCCGTGACAAAATACACAGTTGAGGTTTTTTCTCTCTCTCTTTCACAGTTCTTGTCTACCAGCCCCTGGCAGAAATCACCATTTCTTCGGCGAAGGAATGCTACTTTCCAAAATCCTTTGGCAGAATCTCCTAGAGATTTGTTTTTCTGCTTCCTAATTTAGAAAGTCTTCAAAGAAAAAAAAAACTTGACAAATTAATGTGAGAAGAAACGAACTGTGATTTAATTTTGCATTTCTTTCATGAAAAGTTTATCATGTATAACCAATAAAATTGGATAAGATGATTTTGGGGGAGAAAAGTAAATGAAAATGTGTTATACCCCAAGATCAGACTGTTCTTTTATTCTGAGTCAATAAGTAACATGTGATACAAACTCAAGATTTTATTAAAATCATTTGTAAGTTAAATTAGCATATCTCGGTGGTGAAGGAAGACTTTTAATAAAGCAAAATAATGAGTTAGGTGAATCAACAGAAAGAGTGAAAAGTGTTAACAGTGACATTTAAATGGTTACATGATTTTAATTATTCTTTTGATAATAAGCAACCTTGTGATATCTATTCAAGAAAAGCCAGAGCCCACTATGGAATTCGCAGTTGAATAAGAGCTTTGTTCCCTGCTTTTGGTAATGTTAAAGAAACAAATGGAAATGGTTTAAAGACCTTATAACAATCTCCCACCTAGCAAAAGAATCTAAAAGGTAAGGTGGGAAGCATTAGAAAGAGAGTGAAAAGAAAAATAAAAAAGGCCTCACACGCAGCATTGGGTTTATTTGAGAGACAGGGCAAGAGAGAATGAAGTGTTGGAGAGAGAAGGTGCTGGAAGGCCAGCCGATGCCAATCCCTTCCTTATCTGTTCTTGGCTGCCAGGGGTTTCCGGCTGATCTTTTTCGATTTGTCATTATTCTTCTTCGGTGGTTCTGGGTTGGCCTGCATGTGTCTGCCGTAGAGGCTGCAAAGACAGAGAAAGGACACTATCAGATCTATTTTGCCAACACAAGATAGCTTTCACTGGAAGAGCTTTCAGGAATAGAAGAATCTCCAAAAATATTCAGTAAGCCAAAGAAAACCAAAAGATCACTTCTGTGTTCTCTGGGTGCTACGCTGTGTTGAATATAAAATTCTCTTACACATGCACGCCATGCCATGATGTCCGATCACGGACCAGTCTCTTGGGATTTCACACTCACTGGGAGAAGTGGTCAGGCCCTGCTCAGCCGTTCTGGACTGAAGTTCAAAAGCTTATGAGTGTTTAAGTCGACAGTGATAAAAATGGGATTGAATGGAAGAGACAGAGTGTCCATTTAGTGAAAAGCGAGCATGATGCTTGGCCCGAAAGCCCAGGGGCTGGCTAATGGGACAGAGAGCAATGGTGTCCAAATCTGTGCTGGCTGCTCACCCATGATGGATAGCGTGGGGCTGGCCACCACACATCAATGCCACATTAATAAGTACCGCTGATTAAATGCTGACAAAGTGCCCTATAATTACGGTGGATGGCATTCATTGCGCAGCGAAGCTGGCTCCGTGGCTGAGAGGATTTAACTGAACAGCAGAAGGTAATTAATCGATAATTTATGAGTAATTCTGATTAAACCAAATTAAAAGCCACCCTAAAATAAATACAGCTCAAACTTAACTCCTTTTATTGATATAACTGTGTCTCCAAGAGAGCCTGGTGGGTGTCTCAGGTCCTCTGCAGCAAGGGCATACCCGGCTCCACAGCCCGCAGTTGCTGTGAATGAGGGTTGGCACAGAGCCTGACGTCCCTGTACCAGGTGGCCCAGCTCCAGCATCCACACAAGGAATATGCACACTCTCTGGATGCTGGCATCTTGGGCTGTTTAGCATATACTGGCGTCCGGCATTTTTTTTTTTTTCCTGAGTGTCTCACTCTGTCACTCTGCTCCCCAGGCTGGAGGGCAGTGTATGATCATAGCTCACTGCAGCCTCAAACTCCTGGGCTCAAGCGATCTCATGGCTCAGCCTCCTGAGTAGCTGGACTACAGATATATGCCACCATGCCTAGCTAATTAAAAAAAATATATATATCATATATAATATCTATTATATGATATATATGATAGATAATATGATATATATGATATATATCATATATTATCTATATCATATATTATCTGTATATTATATGTATCATAGATAATATATGATACATATAGATAATATATCATATATATCATATAAAATATACTATATTATCTATTATATATCATATATATATATATTTTTTTTTTTTTGAGATGGAGTCCTATTGTGTTGCCCAGGCTGGAGTGCAGTGGTGTGATCTTGGCTCACTGCAACCTCTGCCTCCCAGGTTCAAGCAATTCTCCTGCCTCAGCCTCCTGAGTAACTGGGCTTACAGGCATGCACCACCATGCCCAGCTAATTTCATATTTTTAGTAGCAATGGGGTTTCACCATGTTGGCCAGGCTGGTCTTGAACTCTTGACTTCCAGTGATCCACCCACCTTGGCCTCCCAAAGTGCTGAGATTCAGGCGTGAGCCACCATGCCCCAACAAAAAAATTATTTTAATAGACATGGGGTCTCACTAGGTTGCCCAGGCTGGTGTTACACTCCTGGCCCCAAGCAATCCTCCTGCCTTGGCCTCCCAAAGTGGGATTACAGGGATGAGCCACTGTGCCTGGCGTCCAATACTAGTGTTCTTGATGACATCTCCACCATGGCTGACAGGCAGAGGGGAAGGGCTGGCAGATGGAACTGCCCAGTTGATTTTGTGATCCAGGAAAGCTGGACACTATGGTTTTGAAAGGCCATACTGTATTCTAACTATTCCAGTCTTCCAAGTGTTGCCTTGGAGGCGGTACAAGCAGGTTCCATCGGCGGTCACTCTCACGGAGTGTAGAACACAGGGTTCAGAGCTGGCCAGAGACAGACCTACGAGCCGGAGCGTGCACATCCAGCCAGGTGCTGGGATTGCACTCCAGGAAAAGGGGAGGCCATTCTTTTGCATCAAGAAGTTTCCATATGTCCTAGACAGAGAACATAAGAGCCTGCAAATTGGCTTTCCACATCTCTAGGAATTAGTTTGGAGGCCTTTTTGCTTGTGTAATGGAGACAGTAGCCCTGTCCTGACCAGCCCGGCTGTGCCTCCTCTGAAGCCACAGAAGAAGAAACAACTCCTTAAGAGAATCTGAACTTCGGGAGGGTAAGGCAGGCAGATCACGAGGTCAAGAGATGGAGACCATCCTGGCCAACATGGTGAAACCCCATCTCTACTAAAAAAAAGAAAAAATTAGCTGCGCATAGTGGTGCATGCCTGTAGTCCCAGCTACTCAGGAGGCTGAGGCAGCAGAATTACTTGAACCTGGGAGGCAGAGGGTGCAGTGAGCTAAGATCACACCACTGCACTCCAGCCTGGCAACAGAGTGAGACTCTGTCTCAGAAAAAAAAAAATCTGCTCCATGAAAGCGCATTTTTCAACCTATAGGGGCTCCCCCAACCTACACTTTTAAAAGGGTCACGGGTCCCCCTGAAGACGAGGCCATGGGCACCTGGGGGTCCTGGGTCCTGTGTCCCAGGTGGGAGACCACTGGTTTAGATAGGGAGTAAAGTTCAGCGGGTCCAACCTTGTCTCTGTTGCTGCCCCCAATTTCCAAAGATACCTGTGTTCAAGTCCTGAAACCTGGGAGTATGTTACCTTACATGACAAAAGGGGCTCTGCAGGTGTCGAAGTTAAGGACCACCCTGCATTAGCCATGTGGACTCAACCCGTGTTCCTCCTCCTCGGCATCTCTCCCAGACACAACAGATAGGCAGAGGAAATGCTCAAAGTAGATCCCTCCATTCTATTCCTCATCCTCCAAGCTCCGAAACATGCGTACTCCTCTAACAGCACCTGCCCTTGTCCTCAGATGTTGATCTACTCAGGGCCACTGACTCAATGCTCAAGGGCTTAGCACTGCAGAGTAATAAACCCTGGAGGCATCAGGTCTCCAAGCTCCCCTCACCTGGCAGGAAGCAAGGGTCTGACTCTGTGTCTTCACACAGGCACCTACGGCCTAGGTAGCTTCAGCTACACACACAGCTTCCTTCCAGCCTCAGAGATCTTTCCTCTGTTTCCCAAACCCCTTATCCGCACAGAGCAAAAAAATACGTATGTACATTTTTATTCAAAGATAGTTTCAAACTTTAAGGATTATTATTATTATTTTTTCAGATGGAGTCTTGCTCTGTCACCCAGGCTGGAGTGCAGTGGCAGTATCTCAGTTCACTGCAGCTTCTGCCTCCCGAGTTCAAGTGATTCTCGTGCCTCAGTCTCCCAAGTAGCTGGAATTACAAGTGTGTACCACCATGCCTGCCTAATTTTTGTATTTTTAGTAGAGAGGGGGTTTCGCCACGTTGGACATGCTGGTCTCAAACTCCTGACCTCAAACGATCCACCCACCTTGGAAAGGCTGGGATTACAGGCGTGAGCCACGCACCTGGCCTCCAAACTGTAAGGATTCTAAAAGTTGACAGAAAGATGACTCCACTGTTCATGCCCATGGAAACCTAGCAATACCCGAGTGTAAGGAAAGAGTCTTGGCAATGATAAGAGGTCAGCAGAGGGAGAGGAGCAGTAGGAATTGAGAGGAATTGACAAGGCCCTGCTTCGAGTCAAGTGTTGAATGCGGGAAGGGCTGAGGTGGGTGTTCAGCTTGGCCCTGACGATGGGGATCCAGGCAAGCGATTTCAGAAGGGGTTGCAAAAGCTGCAGGGCTCTTCTCCTTTTTCGGAGCGAACTGGAATGTTCCACTGTTTCAGTCTCTGCCTTTTTATATTCAGATCCCACTGTGTGTGTCTGAACATCCTGGGGCTGCAGAACAAGTCACTACAAAGGGCCAGGTGGGAGCCAGTGGCCCTGAACTTGCTGCTCAAATCCTGCTTTTGACGTTTATTAGCTGATGACTCTGGGCAAATGATCAGCAATGTTTGCCTCCCTCTCCGTGCCTCAGTTTCTTTATCTGTAAGCTAGAGATGTCGTTTGTCTTCCTTGCAGGGTGTTTCGGTAAGCCCAGCACCATGGCAAACCTACTGGAAGCAGTCAGCGAATGCTTATTGAAAAGTAGGACAGACATGGAGTTACAGTCAAGAGTGATTAAATCAAGATAATTATATGATTACCTTCCTTCTTTAGGGCTGTTTCCCCTGCAAAATAACAGGGTATTTTCTATCAACACTAAATCCCCAAACACCTCTGGAACAAAGGTTTTAATCCTTTTTGAAGAAAGCAACTAAGACAGAGCTAAATGCATGGCCCACTTCCTCAGTGAGTCATCGGCAGGGCTGGATGACGCTGCTGTCCGCCGCACGATCCTTTAACTCCTCCAGCTGTGTGGGCAGATGAGAGCTGGCGTTTTACTAAGCGGCCATAAGTGGCCGTTTTCACAGGGATGTGGCTATGGCAGTGGCGGTGCAGTCACAACAAGCTCCAAAGTCTGGTGTTCCATTCCTGGCTCTGCCAGTTACGAGCCACGGGGCCTCAACTGGGCAAGTAAGTGTGGTAGACAGAATCACAGCTCCCAAAGATGGCCACATCTGATCCCTGAAACCTGTGACTGTTATTTTCCATGGCAGTGGGGACTCTGCAGGCATGACTTAGTTAAGAACCTTGAGCTGGGAAGAGAATCCTGGATGATCCCGTGGGCTCAGTGTCATCAAAAGGGTCCTTATAAGAAAGCAGCAGGAGGGACCAGCTGCAGGGGTACACATCTGTAATCCCAGCACTTCAGGAGGCCAAGGCGGGAGGATTGCTTGAGGCCAGGCGTTCACGACCAGCCTGGGCCATACAGGGAGACCCTATCTCTACAAAAAGTAAAGTAAAAAAAAAAAAATTAGCCAGGTGTGGTGGAGCACACCTGTAGTCCCAGCTACTTACTTGGGAGGCTGCATTGGGAGGATCGCTTGAGCCTGGGAGTTTGAGGCTGCAGTGAGCCGTGATCACACCACTGCATTCCAGCCTGGCCATAGGGCAAGACCTTAACAATCAATCAAAAATAAAAACAGGCAGGGGGTCAAAGTGAAAGAGATTTGAAGATGTTACACTGCAGTCTCTGAAGATGGGGAAAGGGGCTATGAACCAAGGAACACAGGTGGTCTGTGTAAGCCAGAAAAGCAAGGAAATGCTCTTCCCTAGAATCTCCTGCAAGAGGCAACCTAGCAACACTGGTTTCAGACTTCTGACCTCCAGAACTGTCAGGTAATACATTCGTTTTGTTTTCAACTACTAAGTTCTTGGTAATGTGTTAGAGCAATAGAGAACTAACATAGTAGGTGAGCCTCTCTGGGCCTGACAGGGTGGCCTGTCCGTGAGGATTCTGCTTAATTTCAATAGGGAAAATGAGTTTCTGGGATAAATTAAAAAGATGGAAAAATGAAAGAACCAAGACGCAGAGAGGCAAGGTGTGTCCCAAAGGAAAAATGGGTGTTGTTTCTACGAGAGGAAGTGCAAACAGCTTTGCAAACTGTCCCCTTGCTACTACGAACTGGCTGGTCCCTGTCCCACCATCCTCTGAAGCTAACACTCGTGGCTTGTGTTTTGCATGTACCTGGATTGAATTTATAGCAGTGACTGACTACAGAGGACAGAACAGTCAGTGCCATTGAAAGACAACCTATTCCTTGCAGTTCCTGAGAGGAAAGAGTGTGGCATACCATGCAGGGCCATGCGGGGAAGTGCCAGGATTGGCAAAAAACTTTTGTCCTGACCTCTTGTAACTTGTACTTTTCCCCCAGGGCCTTGGTGAACAAAGCTTCTCCATCTCCTTCACCTGGGAAACGCCAACCATCCCTCAAACCCGGGCACCACTGTCCCCTCCTAGACAGCATGTGCCCTCAGGGCCACTGCAGCTCTCTGCTCATGTGGTACCTGTCTGGCCCTACAGGAGCCCACCACATCCTGCACCAGGGATTCCTGGAGAACAGTCTCTGGGACTCACAGCCACCTCTGCCTTCGACACCCTACTCAGCCCTGAACGATGTGTGCCCTGGGGAACCTCCCTCACCTCCCACAGTCTGATGTCTCCATATGCAAGAGGAAGATGAAGATTCCCAGCTACCATGGAGAGCTTGGGAGAAGATTAAATTAGGGAAACGCTCTTGTCCCTTGGGCACACAGTAGGCATTTCAGAATGACAGCTGCCGCTTCTAACCTCTTAGGAAGCTTCTCTGACGCAGGCTACCAGGGCCAACTCCTTCCACCTCTTGCAGGCTGCTGCCATGCCCTCGTGCTGCCCGGAATCTGCACTGCCAGCCTGTGCCTTTGGTGTAGATCTTTCTGGGAAAGCTTCGGCGGGCACTGCCACTCGGCTATGACAGCTGGAGAGTGATAAAGGGAGCCTGGCCCAAGGTCACCCATGGGGCTGCAGTGGCTGGTGGGTAAAATGCTTAGCCCAGGAACTGGAGGAAACCCTTTGACATGGAACCCTAGAGCATCTCTCCCCTGATAGCCGGGATTTGGAGAGGAGAATTGGGAGATGATTAAGAAGTGGGAAAAAAACGAGAAACCGCACTCTGAAGTGACACAAGAGGATCAGTTGCTCTTGAGAGTCTGATGAACAGGCTTCTGTCACTGAAGATGGTTTCAAAGATGAGATGCCTGCGACGCTCTCAGTGGTGGGAGATGAGTGAACCAGTCTGCTAGGCTCACAAGGGCTCTTGATCTCACTGTGAAGCCCAAATGCCAACGTGGGAGTGGGCGCTGCCCTGAGCTGCCACCCCAGGAACCCCTGCTGAAGCCCACTTCTAGAAGGATCATGGGGAAATGATCCTGGAGACTGCCTGGGTTGGCAGGCTGGTGACTTCGGTGACGTGCTGTTAAAACAGCCTGCAGACAGGCCGCTTCAAGCTCCGTGCAACTGACCACTACCGCCTGGACAGCTAAGATTGCACAGCAAAAAATTCCAGTCCACTGTACTCAGAATAAATTTTGCAACTTTTTTTTTGATTAAGCAGATATATTATGCATGATTTTCTATTACTGACACGTGTTTTTTTTTTTTTAGGGGGGGGTGGTTTTTGAGACAGGGTCTTGCTCTGTCACCCAGGAATGCAGTGGCATGATCACAGCTCACTGCAGCATTGACCGCTGTGCTCAAGCGATCCTCCTGCCTCAGCCTCCCAAGTAGCTGGGGCTACAGGTGCAGATCACCATGCCCAGCTTATTTTAAAATCTTATTGTAGAGATGGGGTCTCACTATGTTGCTAGGCTGGTTTCAAACTCTGGGGTTCAAGCAATCCTCTCACCTCACACTCCCAAAGTGCTGGGATCACAGGTGTAACCCACAGCGCCTGGCTGATAGGTGGATTTTATTTAATATGGGCATCTTTATTTTTGGAAAAATTGAGTCTTATGTCAGATCCAAGGGTCTCATATCCCTTTGCTGCAGCAGCAAGGAAGACCCCACCCCGCGGAGCCATTCATTCTTAAAAATGTCCTCGCTTGGCTCTAGGATGTCATCCTGGTTCTTGTTTTCTCTCTGGACACCTCTTTGGTCCTGTCTGTCTTTGTGTCTTCTTTCCATCTAATTTTATAACTTTAATGATTGTCTCCGAGCAGCTGCTCTCCAAGTCCTCATCAGCCCACTGGGACACTTTGGCTATGAATCCCCAAAAGGCAGGGAAGAGTCCCTCACCCCACCTTCCACAGGTCTGTCCCTCCATGTCTCCAGAACTTCAGGAGCAAATGCTAAGTTATTTTGACATTCTCCTCTTTTTGTTTTTGGTCACCATATTAATCAGGTCTGATAGGAATTTAGTTTCCTCTACAGTAGAAGTTCTTAGCCTAGGACCCTAGAAGTGTCTGAAACTCTAAGTAAAGTTGTATATGTATATTTCGGCAGAAAGGGACCACAGTTTTCATCAGCTCCTCAAAGGGCCCATAACTCATTAATTAGCTGTTTTATGGTACCTCATTTATTTCCATCATCCACTCCTTTTTTCTTCTTTAATCAGGCCCATGTCACATGGCCATTCAAATATTATAATGGTTCCCTTCTTGGTTTTCCCGATGCAGGTGACTTCCCTTCCCAGTGTGTCCTACACAGGATGTCTGAACTCTTCCTGGTGCATGGATGAAAAACAGCAACCTCTGGCCCCTGGATGGGGTACCTAGCCTGGCACCTGGCATGGAGCAGCCACAGCGCATGTGGCTGGGGAATCTGGCTCGCCTAATGTCCTCTCTTTCTGCACTAACAGGCGTGTGCAAGGTAAGGCTGGGCTTGAGGCAGGCAGGGCAGAGTGCAGGAAAGATGGAGTGAGTGTGAGTTCTGCCACCTATTAGCTGAGTAGCCTCAGAGTCCTATATCTTTCCAGAACCTCTGCCATCGGAACTGGAAAAGGGGAGTATTCGCTCATTATCTCCCTGGCAGGTGAACTGGTAATCAGGTTGCCTTGGGCTCACCCATTGAAAAATGAAAAAATGGCTCACTCAATCTGAGGCCTGAGATAAGCCTTTCCTGACAGCCAACATTCCTTTTGGCTTGTTTTTGTTGTTGTTGCTTATCTGTGTTATTACTGCCAGGAATGCCTGCTTAGGTCCCCTCTGCAACTGAGATCTCCTCTGTCCATATTTTGAGGCCTTGAAGACTTTCACAGCTTCCTCCTCCCCTTCTCCATTCTGCCATCACAAAGCCCTACGGGATGTATCAGGATCTCATCACTAAGTCCTTGATGATACATAAAGTGACTCCTGACCTTGGCATGTTACCTCAAAACATCAGCAGAGTGCCGTGATCACAGCACAACATTTCCAATGCAGCTAACGTGCATTCATTATTCACTGTCGCAACAACCCAGCGAGGAAGCTCCTATTATGATCATTATTTGTCAGATGAGGAAATTGAGGCTTAGCAGCTTGAGGCTCCGATAAACCCAGGCAATGACTCCAAAGTTCAAACTCTGAAAGCACTAAGTTACCTCATCTCCCATCTTGGTTTTGTTTTCTTAAGAAGTCTACCATTTTCTGCAGGGCAGGGAGTGCAGGCTTAACTTCTTTTGTAGTCTATACACTCCAGGCACTGCTAGAAACACATTGTGTGCTATGTAAATATTGTCTTTCAGAATGCCAGGTATATGAGAGGTGCAATATGCTGTTCTGAAGTCGTTTGCTCGTGTCATATGTATCCCTACTGTTGTTTTGGGTGTTTCCATGGCAAGTCCTCATACAGACCAAGAAAAGAACCAATTTTAAAATCTCAGGATATGGCCAGTGAAAATAATGGAGAAAAATAATTTTGCTTCTAATCTGTAATCTTCCGGTAGGATGCTAAATTTAAAATCTCTGCAAATAGATCTGTGGACAAAGTGTGAAGCCGAGATTATTAATAAGCACTTGTAATAGCTTTATTTCTCCTAGCCGGCGGCTATCAGGGGCTGGTGACAGAACCTGAGCATGTAAATTGCTGAGTCCTAAAGAAAAAAAATTAACAGTTACCCTAATTCCTGTGAGAAGTCTCATTAATTCAAAAGGAAATGTTTTTTTTTCTTTTTGAGATCAAACCTCCAAGAGATGGTTCCATGCAATTTACGAATGGCAGCGTGTGTCTGTCACATTCTTCTCCATTATAACCTGCTTTCTGTTCCCAACATAGTGGAGAAAGAAAGTATAAACATACATGCACAAATGGCATCTATATAAACAGCCACAACGAAATGTGTAGTTGGCTTAAGACAGATAGCAAGCTATATGAAAAATAGGCTATAATATATAAGGCAGATTTCAAAACAGCCATATATTCTAGACTCACGATCTGCCCCACTGGAGGGGAGAAATGAGGATTCTGGCAGAGCAAAACTAACAATATCATGCAAAAAAGATGCTCATTAAACTTCATCATCCTGTCTACTCTAATGATGCTTTTACTTAATAAAAATTCCCGGAGCAGATGCAAGGATATTAGGTAAGGTCTTTGGTTATGTATCAGAGGTCCAAGCTGTCACCAGCAGGCATGCAGTTCAGGAGGTATGTTCCCTGGGGAAGGAGCTTTCACAGAATACAGGCAGAGAAAAATCAATAACTGCACCTTGCTTCCCTGCTTAAGCATTTAAGAAAATAGGTAATCCTTTTAAATTAAACTGCAAAGTGCTAAATGTTGCAATTTCCAGAATAAACTCAAAGGCAAAAGGAAATCAGTCCAAGGGCAATGGTAAGTTACTTCCCTGATAGACTTCATACCTGGAGTGGATTTCTTTTATTTATGAAAAGAAAGAATCATTTTAGTACTTGGCATCTGCAGAGACTAAAAAGAGACATCCAACTGTATATGTATGTGCTTGTAATACAACGATACACAAACCTATTCATAAATATAAGGAAGTAAGTTAGGAATTATTTTTGTATGGGCAATTTACCCATTTAAAAATTACTCTTCAAAACCACTACTATGAAAATGCACTAACTTGAATCTAGCTCTCAGAACCTAAATAGTAATCATCTAATGGACCTCTTAAAATGTCCTCTAGCTGGAGGATGATATGATACAGTCACCAATGATCACTTTGGCCCATATATTAACATGACCTGCTTCAGATTTTATGCCCTGCCAACACAGAACTAGCTGGGGATGACTCTGGTCGGGGCAAGAGTGAGGCACCACCCCAAAACTTGAACGTATGGGGAAATAAGGTTTTCCCCTGGGTGTTAAGTAATAAAAATCAACACAGAATAGATCGAAGCAGAAACATGAAAAGTCACCCAAAATAACACCAGCCTTAACTCCCAGACCAGTGCGCCTCGACTATA
Source organism: Homo sapiens (assembly GCF_000001405.40). Lineage (NCBI taxonomy): Eukaryota > Metazoa > Chordata > Mammalia > Primates > Hominidae > Homo > Homo sapiens. The sequence goes on from NC_000010.11 coordinate 16,604,307, forward strand.
AGCAGACCAGGGATATCAGCAAAGCTGGAGAGAGAACCTGCCCATCAGAGTCAGCACTGAAAACGGGGGAGAAAATGCAGGCAGTAGGGACCAGCGGCTGTGAGTTCTGTGGATGCCCTGGCGGGACTGTGTGCCTAGGAGGAATCACAGAAAACAACACAGCACCGCCCACCCGGCACACGCGATCCACACCTGCACGGTCCAGCTTCTGGCCAGCTCCCCTCCTATACCTTCTGCCGCGACCCTCCATGCCCCTGATCCCAACTCCTTAGGGGCTTCTGTTTCCCATCACTATTCACTCTGCCTGGAATGCTCATCTCAAGGTCCCCCTGAGACAGGCGCTACCCCCATTCCCATTTGACAGGTGGGGAAACAAGGCCCAGAGTTTAAATACCGTGATGTGACTGCAGGTGTTCAGACTCCGGGGTCTGGCTGTGCTTCCCTGATGTTAGTGTCAACATGACTCAGTCTTAGGTCCATCAGGGTGTCCTGTCACCCTGGGTGCCGTAACTGGTTTACACACAAGCACGGGGCCAACAAGAGCCAGCGAGAAAAACAGGCCTCACATGGGAGCTCAAACCGCGTGGGAAGAAAAGTCCTTTCTTTTCTGTTTTACTTGAAGTAGGAAGGATGAGCCCAGATCTGCTGGTACCTTGTCCTAGCACTGTGGCGAGAGAGCCTGCTTGGGGGAGAAGCCAGCAGACAAAGCAGGAGTGAGGGACGGAGAGAGACTGGGCCTAAGGACATTGTGTGGGTCCCAATGCCTGAAGTCAGCTGTATTGCTGGATGATGTTTAGTGTAAAATCATCAAAATAATCCCCCTCCCTCTTAGGCCTTGTGTTCCTTGTAATCAAAGCAATGCTGGTCTTGATGAATACGTCACCACTCTGGTCTACTGCAAATGTGAGTTCCCGAGCCAGGCCATCTTTGCCCACACTTTCTATCTTTGACTACGTTCATTTCCATCATACCACTCGTCACCATCTAGTTATTTATTTGATGTCTGTTTCCTGCCTCCCCTGATAGAAGGTTCATTCCTAGAGCACCAGAACCTTATCTGTCTTGTTCAGTGTCCCTGGGACACACTAGAAATGTTTGTTGATTGACTTAATGAAAGTGTGTATAGCTGTACTTACTAGGAAGTATTACAAATATCCAAATACATGGATCCCAACTGGATCATTAGTGCCTCTGAGACAGGGACTAGGCCAACATCACTTTTGTTTCTCCAGTGCCTGGTGCCTCATACACAACTGTCACCCCAAAAATATGGAGTGACTGAACATCTGAGCCAAGCATCACTTCCTGATGTCCTCAATTCCACGCTCATCAGGTGACTACCATCAGCTTCCCACCTGGAGCTGTCTACTGAAGGGATCTGTGCTGTGCAGACCGAGGCAAGTGTTCCCGTCTTTGGGGGCAGTTATCCTCTGTGGTGGAACTCCGGTTCCTCCAACAACTTCTTATGTTTTTTCCTCAGTTGGCTGCAGGGTTTCATTTTTCTTGCCTTTTTGAGACAGGGTCTCACTCTGTTGCCCAGGCTGGAGTGCAGTGGTGCGATCATGGCTCACCGTAGCCTCCACCTCTTGAGCTCAAGTGATCCTCCTGCCTCAGCCTCCTGAGTAGCTGGCACAAGCACATGCCACCATGCCTAATTTTTTTTCATAAACACCTGGCTTCAAGTGATCCTCCTGCCTCAGCCTCCCAAGGTGCTGGGATTACAGGCACACCTTGCCAGCTTGCAGGGCTTCTAAGGCTAAAGGGAAGACCAGGCACTCAGTAAAGGTGCTGCAGCGCCACTTCGTGAGGCCTTCTGGGAGCCAGGCCATTGTCCTCTTGCGGACACTTTTGTACAGTACCGTGACCAGGGTGATTCTACTAAATTCCTTTAAGATACAAAGGACTTTTATAGAATGTTAATGATTTTTAATGTTGATAAGAACTAGTTGAAGATAGTAATTTATAAGAGAATTTGGTTAAAATTAACATTATATATATATTTTAAACTATTTTTATAGATGGGATCTTGCTATATTGCCCAGGTTAGTGTCAAACTTCTGACCTCAAGTGATCTCAGACTCCTGAGTAGCTGGGATTACAGGTACAACTCACCAGGCCCAGCTAAAATTAACATAAAAGTAGTGTTTTCTTCCCTTTGTTGGAAAAAAAATCAGAATGAATTTTTATTATCATGGAAGGGTTAGAGTCTTTCTGGCCTCACGAGGCTCCTACATGGGCAGATGAGGGTCGTTCATGACCTCTGAGTCATTAGGCTGGTCATCACCAGGGCAGGATTCCTGTAGTGTGCACACAGGAAGCTTCTCTGCCACGTTGTATATACTAAGTCATTGAAGCCTTAAGCAATATCACGTGAAGGAAACCATGTGGAGCACACATTGTCCTGTGGCTCTAGAGGTAGTGACATTACACAGATCTGGTGTCCCATGAAAAGGAATGCCAGTATCTAGAGAGAAGCCTTTGCTTTCTCTTGTTTTACGATAAGGACAAACGGTAGAAGCATACCATACATAGTGGTATTAGTATCACCACTGATATTCCTCCTCCTCTCCCTATTTGTGGCTGTTGGCCATCTGCTCTTGGCACTGTCCCTCCCTCTCAGTTTCTCTCTGCCCAGGTGACCTGATGATTTCACCACAGCAGGTGACACATGGCCGTGTGCTATAGTTTGGATCTGTGTTCCCACCAAATCTCATGTAGAATTGTAGTCCTCAGTGTTGGAGGTGGTTGGATCATGGGGGCGGTTTCTCATGAATGGTTCAGCACTATCCCCTTGGTGCTGTTCTCGTGATAGTGAGTGAGTTCTCGCGAGATCTGGTTGTTGAAAAGCATGCAGCATTGACGCCCTTGTGCTCTTTCGTTCTGGCTCTGCCATGTGTGCCTGCCTCCTTTGCCTTCCACCATGATTCTAAGTTTCCTGAGACCTCCCCAGAAGCATAAGCCGCCATGCTTCCTGTACCTCCTGCAGAACCATGAGCCAGTTAAACCTCTTCTATATAAATTACGCAGTCTCAGGTATGTCTTTATAGCAGTGTGAGAATGGACTAATACACCATGTCAGTGGAAAGCTGGACATCACGTTTAATCTAAGTTCAGGCCTATAGGTGTCAGAGTGCAGGGCAGAGAATGGTGAATTGGAATTCAGAAGGCTTTGGGATTAATCCACTAGCAGGGTGATTTGCATTTCCCCAAACAGAAAAAGGAGGTGTGTGGATCTAAACAGGGGTGGTAACTATCTGGCCTGAGCACTGCTACTCCCCATCTCATATCCACGGCAGATATCACACACTGAGCAGGTGCTCTGTTGGAATGTGCCAGACCTCACAAAGATAAAGCACTCCAGGCAAAGGATTCAGCCTGGTCAGGGTTGGGCATCTGAATGGAACTTAACATGCTTTGCCCAGGAACCCTGTAGAGCAAATCACTTTAATATTAACATATTTACCCCTTAACCAAATCATGTTACGTGAAACTCTACAGGGCTTGTACCTCTAAGATTCCTTCTGTGCTCTGGTTAGATTATGGCATGATAATCTATAATTATCGTGAGTTTTTTTGAGACAGAGTCTTGCTCTGTCACCCAGCTGGAGTGCATTGGAACATTATCAGCTCACTGCAACCTCTGCCTCCCAAGTAGCTGGGATTACAGGCACATACCACCACACCCGGCTCATTTTTGCATTTCTTGTAGAGATGGAGTTTTGCCTTGTTTCCCACGCTAGTCTTGAACTCTTGGACTCAAGCCATCCACCCGCCTTGGCCTCCCAAAGTGCCGGGATTACAGGCGTGAGCCACCACACCCGGCCAGTATCATGAGATTTTAGACAGCACTGTATTATTTTCCCCTCCTCCATCGCCCATGGATTTTCTGGAAGGTGAATGACGTTCCACTTATGGAGCAGACCAGGTGTGGTGGCCCATGCCTATAATCTCAGCACTTTCGGAGCCTGAGGCAGGAGGATCCTTTGAGCCTAGGAGTTCAAGATTAGCCTGGGAAACATAGCAATACCCCATGTCTGTTTAAAAACAAAAACAAGTAGAGTAATGATATTTTAAAAATCCTTAGGAATCAACGCCAGAAAATACCCAGCTACCTACTACCTACATGTGCATTATCCATGCGGCTCTCACCAGGTGAGCTTTAGGCAGAAGCAGCTCGGAGAAGCTGCATCTGGTACCTTTTCCCACTTCCCTGGCAAAGACAAACTTCCCCATGTAAGCCGTGTTCTCTTTGAAGTGGCAAATACTATCCACAAACACAGCATCTCATTTCTGCTGGTGTGCAGAAAGAGCAAAGTGGTATTTAGGAGCAAGTGAACACCTGGCAATGGGATAATGGAGACGGCATCTCCGAGAGCTCAACAGGAGATGAGACTTTGAACTCCATCTCCTCTTTTTTCACTTTCACATTTTTGAGTTTTTTGGAAAAAAAAAATCCTGAAAAAGAATGAAGAGTTTAAAGTTTAAAAAAATACTTGTAGCCCTGGGTAGATTCAGCAGACTTAATAATTTTCATCCATTTCCTCCTAGTTTAGGGACAGGGTCTTGATCTGTTGCCCTGGCTGCGGTGCCATCATAGCTCACTGCAGCCTCAAACTCCTGGACTCAATAGATCCTCCTGTCTCAGCCTCCCAAAGTGCTGGGACTACAGGTGTGCATCATCATGTCTGGCTGATTTTTAAATATTTTGTAGAGATAGGGCCTTGCTATATTGCCCAGGCTAATATAGAACTCCTGGCCTCAAATGATCCTCCTGCCTTGGCCTGAGACCTCCTCCTCCTCAGACCTTCTGGGATTACAGGTGTGAGCCACGGTGCCCAGCCTAAAATCAGATTTTTAAGAATCTCAGAAAAATGTATGGTCTGCAAGTGCAAAAAGCTTAAAAATAAAGATGTCTATGATCTATGAGAAGATTCCATGCATCAGCAAGGAATTGAGTGGGACCCTGGCACTGCCTCACCTAGGAGCTGCCTCTGGCTAGGGGAGAGCCTTAGCTGCTTCATGCCCCCAACAGGCCCCGTAGGCTGCAAGCAAAACTGTGGCTGTGGGTGGGGAGGGAAGAGCCGAAGCTTGTCATAACAGCCCCTAGCATCCAAGAATCCAAAGTGTTTCATCTAAGAATCTCACCCACAAAACACCCCTGGAAGGTGCTAGAGCATGCTAAATACAGCTGGTGAAAGCGAGGTGGAAGTAAAAGCGTGGGGTGGAGATGGCAGAGGAGCAGGTGTCTGCAAAGCCAAGCACCTCCCGGGCCCCGTACGACGACACTGGATGGAACATTCCAAAGGAAAGTGTGCACCATGGTTATTTTCAAATGTCAACCAACCATGTTCTGTAACAATCGTCTCCTACTACCCCAACAATATTCTCATGGAAAAGTATTCTTCCCTGAAAAACGATCATCCAAGAAGATTTCCATCCAACATATCTCCCCAAAAAGGTAAAACAAGCCCTCTTTTATTTAGTATTTGCTCACTGAATACCTCGAGTGAGTTAAGTTCTCTTCTCATAAGCTGTTTCTAAAATCTTCTTAAACACACATTAGTACGTCCAATTTGCAGAGACACATTCCATATTCCACATATCTCTGCAGAATAGCGCTGTCCAAAATATAATTTGAGCCATGAATGTAGCTTTAAATTTTCTCATAGCTGCATTATAAAAGTAAAAAAGACTGGATGGAATTAATTTTAATATCATATTTTATTTAACCCAATATAGCCAAAATATCATTTCAACATGTCATCAATTTAAAAATGATTCATGATCTATGTTATCTGTAATTTGATGATGAATAATTTAGTAAATTTATTACATAAATTTAATGATTTTTTGAGTACTATGTCTTTGAACTCTGGTGAGTATTTTAGAGTTAGAGCACACTGTCCGTCAGACAAGCTACAGTTCAACAGCTCAGGAGCCACCTATAGTTGGTGGCTATGCTACTGCACAGCAGATATAGACAAGCTGAATATGGTGGAGTTGAGCCACCTTCTTGTACTTAGATGAAAGACATTTTAAAGGCTGACGGCCCCTTTCCTGTCATCCTGGCACTTGGTTACTTTTAATACTTTAGAAAACGGGTGGCCAACCCTTGGGCCGTGGACAGGTACCTAACCGCAGCCTGTTAGAAGCTGGGCTGCATAGTAGGTGGTGAGTGGCAGGCGAGGAAGCAAAGCTTCATTTTTATTTACAGCTGCTCCCCATTGCACATGCGAGAGATCTAGGTTGCACGCTCCTTATGAGAATCTAATGCCTGATGATCCGTCACTATTTCCCATCACCCCCAGATGGGACTGTCTAGTTGCAGGAAAATAAGCTCAGGGCTCCCACTGATTGTGTATTATGGTGTACTGTATATTTATTTCATTATACATTACAATGTAATAATAATAGAAATAAGGCACACTATAATGTAAAGTGCTTGACACATCCCAAAACCATCTCCCCGCAACCCTGCTGGTCCATGGAAAAACTGTCTTCTACAAAACTGGTGCCTGGTGCCAAAAAGGCTGGAAACTGCTGGTTTCGAGTAAGGAAGGATACACACAGGAAATCTGTTATCTAGAGTCCCGTTTACCTAGAGATTTTCCCAATGTCCTTATTTGTAATAGTTGTGATATTGGAAAGGTTTTTAAGCCAAAATGAATAACTCCTGAAGCCCGTAAATGCTACTTGGTTGGAGAAAATATGTTCAGTCCTTCTCTTCCCCCAAAGCACAAAAACATAAAAGCAGCTTTAAGAGCCAAAGGTCCCCAGCGCCCGGCTGGCTAGAGTGCATTATCCATGAGGCCCTCCCTGGGGGCTCAAGCAGCAGTGACTACAGCTTGGGTGCATTCATGAGTTTGCCGTTTCCAGGGTGGACCAGACTTCCTCACTCAGCTGTGATCCTTCTCGAGTGGCCACACTACGTCTAGCCTCTGGGCCCATTGCCAGGGAAGACGGGCTGCAGGGAAGTCTCCAGAATAGGCTGCAGTGGCCAGGAGGAGGGACGTCCCAATCAGGCTTTTATAAACAAGGCAATAAACTGCTTAGAAATCCCCTGGTTATAATAGGGCTAACTGTATTTTTTAACTTCCCCATTCTTTGTTGAGGAATTTTTTTCCCATAAAATTTAGAAATACACAACTGAAAACTAAAGAAAAGGTGAGATCCGAAGACGCTACTACTGAGTTCCCATAGATGTCTTCATTATTCTTTTGACAACTGTTGATTTGTTTCCAAATACCACTTTGCTTCTTTCCCTGCAACAAGACAGCCCCTCACCCACTGGCCTCTTTGTGTTCTCTTGCTCTGCTTCTAACTCCCATGTACTGGGGGCTGACATCTGCACCTCCAGCTAATAGTGACAGTAAACCCTTTCTCATGGGAGACACCTGTATAGAGTTAACTTTTAAAATACACAGCAAGCAACGCTGGTATGACTCATGAATACTGGGTGAAAGCAAGGCTTCTGGATAGACTTACTATCCAGGCTGCTTTTCCAGAGAGCGAGAGAGAGTGAGAGAGAATGAATATGAATGAATCTCTCTTTATGTTCAGCACCTGTGTGAAAGTTATAATGTACAGCAGACTGGTAGAAATGACTTTGAAATTCATTCGTGATTCTTGGCAGCTGGGTACCCTTAGACAAGTTACCTAACCTCTCTGATAAAAGTGCTTTATCCTCCATAAAACAGGACTGATAATAATAGCACATAACTCAATAGGGTTGTTGGGAGGACAAAATAACAGAAATACAGAGTGCTCAGCAGGTATCAAACAGGTGCTCAATAAACCAAGGCAATGCCACACTACGCTCAGAACTGGGGTTGTCCATTCAAATGTGGTTGAAGCCATAGAGTTGCAATATGCCTTATGGTTGTGTGCCCAACGTTTTAGACAAAACACTGTTTCTTTCCAAAGAGATATATATTTTTTAAATGTTGCAATATGTATGCTTGAGGAAAATAGCAAATGGCAGAGAACATAAGGAGGAGGCCTTGGATATGAAACTACCAACAAGTTTAGTCACTTTCTGAGCCTGGTTTTCACTGAATATTACACATGACCATGCCAGTCATTGCCAAAGACAATCACCAAGATTCTGCCTGGAGGAAGGTGCAAACTCTTTTTGCTCTGTCCATGGTCCTGAACAGGCAGCTCCCAAGGACTAACTGAAAACATGAATAAGGGGACTGAGTATATCTTCAGTCCTCTGCAGCTCTCCCATTCACAGGCTAAGCTGTTCTCGAATCTGTTCAGATGGGAACCATATTACGTAAGAGTCAATAATCTTACGGTAACTCTGCAGTGAAAATGTCATTTGTTGTAATGAACACTGATCATAAGTTAAGCCTCCAGCTACACTCTCTGTTATTTTTCATTATACTGTTCCTTGCTCTGTTATATTTCAGGAGTACTTGGGGAATTCATCCAACTATGTTCGCTAGTCAGCTCTTCGTTACCCAGATTAGATTCTGCTAAGATGCAATGGAGCAATTTGCAAACACACTGATTCTTAAGGAAATGCATCAGACACTGGTTATATATTCTCCTCTCCTGATGCCAGCAGGCAACCTTCCCCCCTCCTCTTCCCCCTGGTTATTTGTCCCCTTAATTTGCTATTTTCCTCTCTATTTATCTTCCACTCAGTTCACAGTATGGTTCTCCAGGCCCAAATCTGAGAGAGCATTAACAATGCATTTCTGGGTATTTTTTCCTTCAGTAATAACTCTTTGTTCAATTCAACACCCAGAATAATGTTTCCAAAATCATCATCGCCTCTCCCCCAGCTCTCACTTGCAAACACCACTCTGCTTACATTACAGTTATTCCCCCTCTGGCTGCTTTAAAGGACACTAACTCCAAAAGGCACACCAGTGAGGCAAAGCTGGAACTCTTCCATTTTTTAAAAAAGCCAATATGAAAAATTCATTTTGCACGTTGTATATTAAGCATGAGAGTGGAATTTCCATATGTCTCTGTGCTTCCTGCTCCTGGAATTGCTTGTAAGCAGGCTGTGAGTCTCCACAGAGACCACCTTCCTGCCACGCCTCAGTGGTCATGACCAGCACAATGGTTCAGAGACTGTGTGGGTTCATGCCAAGAGTCGGCACCTTGTTCAGAAACACTAGTGGACTTCACCACTCTAACTTGGTGTAGGGCTTCATCCCATCCCCATCTGAGCCTGGGCATCTTTCGTTTTGATTAGACTATTAGCTCTGATCCTGGTTGCCACTGTGCTGGAGAATAAAATATTACAAAAATGACACTGGCAGACATCAAGAATCTGGGCTTGCCACCTTGGTTGTGATTTTAGGGCAGACTTGGCTGGGAATGTTCCCTTTTCAGGGAAATCTAGCTCAATGAACTGAAATGTATTCAGACAGGCATGTTGCAGTAATGCTATATTCTCTGTTACTATACTTTCCTCCTGATATGCATCAGAGAAAAGCTGAGAAGAAACTTTTATTAAAATGTCTACAGCTCTTTAAAAAAAAAAAAAACAAAAAAAACAAACCTTTCCCCAGACATGACATCTTGCTTCTGGTGAGTGCAGAAGACTAACTACTGATGGATATGAAGATCACATGTGTGTAAAAATACATGAAACAATCTATTGCCAGGCTATATTCCTTGGGAATTGGAGGTTACAAGGCAAAACTACTGGGTCGGATTCAGGGGTACTCGCAGGGATTGTGGGCAATAGCATTAACGCCAGAAAAATAAAAGTTCAAAACATGGGTAAGGAATAATGTTAGTGCTGAGATGAGCTATATAACCCTAACATTTAGGAACAAGAAGTACAAAGTAGGTAAGCAAAGCTCCCCCGTACTTAATGGAAATAATCATGCTTAGCAGTTAATTCACCAATATCTAAATTTCAAATTAGGTATAACATATAAAAACTGTAAACAAGCAAAAATAATCTGAAAATGTTGTAGATGTTAAATCAAGAACCAGGTAGTCCATGTTCTTACTAACTTGTGGGATCTAAAAATCAAAGCAATTGAACTCATGGAGATAGAGAGGAGAAGGATGGTGACCGGAGGCTGGAAGGGGTAGTAGGGGGCTGGGAGGAAAAGTAGCAATGGTTAATGGTTAAAAAAAAAAATAGAATGAACAATAATTAAATGAGGCACTATAGTCCCCCCACCACAAGAGAATTGTAATCAATAATTTACACTTAAAAATAAGAGTATCAATGGATTGTTTGTAACAAAGACAAATGCTCAAAAGGATAGATACCCAATATACCAAGATGTGATTATTACACATTGCATGCCTGAGCCACAGTATCTCATATTCCCCATAAATACATACACCTACTGTGTACCCACAAAAATTAAAAATAAGCTTTTAAAAGAGGAAACAGCCACTTTTTGATATGCACCAGAAGACAAAAAGCAAGCTGCCTTAGATGACAGACAATAAATAGACTTACCCCAAATTCAAGAGGACTCACTAAGGAATAGATCACCATGCAGAGCCACCGAGGCAAGAATCGTGAACAGGTCTGAGCCTCATTTACTCATATCTAAAATGGGCATTCCCTGCCTTACAAGAGCTCCTGAGGAAGCACTAAATATGGAAAGGAAAAATTTGTAACAGCCACTGCAAAAATATAACAAAATATAAAGACCAAGGACACTATGAAGAAACTGCATCAACTAATGTGCAAAATAACCAGCTAGCATCACGATGGGATCAAATTCACACATAACAATATTAACCTTAAGTGTAAATAGGCTAAATGCCCCAGTTAAAAGACACAGACTGGCAAAGTGGATAAAAAGTCAAGACCCATTGGTGTGCTGTATTCAGGAGACCCATCTCACGTGCAAAGACAAACAAAGGCTCAAAATAAAGGAATGGAAGAATATTTACTAAGCAAATGGAGAGAAAAAAAAAAGCAGGGGTTGCAATTCTAGTCACTGACAAAACAGACTTTAAACTAAAAAACATCAAAAAAGACAAAGAAGGGCATTACATAATGGTAAAGGGATCAATGCAACAAGAAGAGCAAACTATCCTAAATATAAATGCACCCAATACAGGAGCACAGAGATACATAAAACAAGTTCTGAGAGACCTACAAAGAGACTTAGACTCCCACACAATAGTAGTGGGAGACTTTAACACCCCACTGTCCATACTAGACAGATCAACAAGACCGAAAATTAAGAAGGATATTCAGGACTTGAACTCAGCTCTGGATTAAGTGCACCTAATAGACATCTACAGAACTCTTCACTCCAAATCAACAGAATATACATTCTTCTCAATGCCACAGGGCACTTATTCTAAAATCAACCACACAATTTGAACTAAAACGCTCCTCAGCATGTGCAAAAGAATGAAATCGTAACAGTCTGTCAGACCACAGTGCAATCAAATTAGAACTTGGGATTAAGAAACACTCAAAACTGCACAACTACATGGAAACTGAACCTGCTCCAGAAAGACTCCTGGGTAAATAACGAAATTAAGGCAGAAAAAAGTAAGTTCTCTGAAACCAATGAGAACAAAGAGACGACATATCAGAATCTCTGGGATGTAGCTAAAGCAGTGTTTAGAGGGAAATTTATAGCACTAAATGCCCACATCAGTAAGCTGGAAAGATCTGAAATCAACACCCCAACGTTACAAGGAAAAGAACTAGAGAAGCAAGAGCATACAAATTCAAAAGCTAGCAGAAGACAAGAAATAAGATCAGACCAGAACTGAAGGAGTCAGAGACAGGAAAAACCCTTTAAAAAAACCAGTAAACCCAGGAGTTGGTTTTTTGAGAAGATTAGCAAAATAGACCACTAGCTAGACTAACAAAGAAAAAGAGAAGAATCAAATAGACAAAATAAAAAGGGGATATCACCCCTGATCCCACAGAAATACAAACTACCATCAGAATACTATAAACACCTCTACTAAAACTAGAAAATCTAGAAGAAACGGATAAATTCCTGGACACACACCCCCTCCCAAGACTAAAGCAGGAAGAAGCCAAATCTCTGAAGAGACCAATAACAAATTCTGAAATTGAGGCAGTAATTAATAGCCTACCAACCAAAAAAAAAAAAAAAAAAAAAAAACCCCAGGACCAGATGGATTCACAGCCAAATTCTACCAGAGACAAAAAGAGCTAATATCATTCCTTCTGAAATGATTCCAAATAATAGAAAAAGAGGGACTCCTCCTCAACTCATTTTATGAGGCCAGCATCATGCTAATACCAAAAACTGTCAGAGAGACAACAAAAAAAGAAAATTTCAGGCCAATATTCCTGATGAAGATCAACAGGTGAAAATCCTCAATAAAATACTGGCAAACTGAATCCAGCAGCACATCAAAAAGCGTATCCACCAAGGTCAAGTAGGCTTCACCCCTGGGATGCAAGGCTGGTTCAGCATACGCAAATCAATAAAAGTAATCCATCACATTAACTGAATCAAGGACAAACACCACATGATTATCTCCATAGATGCAGAAAAGGCCTTTGATAAAATTCAACATCCCATCATGCTAAAAACTCTCAATAAACTAGGTATTAATAGCACATATCTCAAAAAGATCTGTTTATGACAAACTCTAGCCAATATCATACTGAACGGGTATTCCCTTTGAAAAATGGCACAAGACAAAGATGCCCTCTCTCACCACTCCTATAGTATTGGAAGCTCTGGCCAGGGCAATCAGGCAAGAGAAGGAAAGTATTCAACTAGGAAGAGAGGAAGTCAAATTGTCTCTGTTTGCAGATGACGTGATTGCATATTTAGAAAACCTTATTGTCTCATCCCCAAAACTCATTAAGCTGATAAGCAACTTCAGCAAAGTCTCAAGATACAAAATCAATGTGCAAAAATCACAAGCATTCCTATACACTAATAATAGATAAGCAGAGAGTGAAATCATGAGTGAGCTCCCATTCACAATTGCTACAAAGAGAATAAAATACCTAGGAATCCACCTTACAAGGGATGTGAAGGAACTCTTCAAGGAGAACTACAAACCACTGCTCAAGAAAATAAGAGAGGACACAAAGAAATGGAAGAACATTCCATGCTCATGGATGGGAAGAATCAATATCATGAAAATGGCCATACTGCCCAAAGTAATCTATAGATTCAATGCTATTCCCATCAAGCTACCATTGCCTTTCTTCACAGAATTAGAAAAAAACTACTTTACCTTTCACATGGAACCAAAAAAGAGCCCATATAGCCAAGACAATCCTAAGCAAAAAGAACAAAGCTGGAGGCATCATGCTACCTGACTTCAAACTATACTACAAGGCTACAGTAACCAAAACAGCATGGTACTGGTATCAAAACAGATATATAGACCAATAGAACAGAACAGAGACCTCAGAAATAACACCGCACACCTACAACCATCTGACCTTCGACAAACCTGACAAAAGCCATGGGGAAAGGATTCCCTATTTCATTAATGGTGCTGTGAAAACTGGCTAGCCATATGCAGAAAACAGAAACCAGACCCCTTCCTTACACCTTATACAAAAGTTAACTCAAGATGGATTACAGACTTAAATGTAAAACCCAAAACCATAAAATCCCTAGAAGAAAACCTAGGCAATTCCATTCAGGACATAGGCATGGGCAAAGACTTCATGACTAAAACACCAAAAGCAATGGCAACAAAAGCCAAAATAGACAAATGGGATCTAATTAAACTAAAGAGCTTCTGCACAGCAAAAGAAACTACCATCAGAATGAACAGGCAACCTTCAAATGGGAGAAAATTTTTGCAATCTACCCATCTGACAAAGGTCTATTATCTAGAATCTACAAGGAACTTAAGTAAATTTACAAGAAGAAAACAACCCTACCAAAAAGTGGGCAAAGGATATGAACAGACACTTCTCAAAAGAAGACATTTATGCAGCCAACAAACATGAAGAAAAGCTCATCACCACTGGTCATTAGAGAATGCAAATCAAAACCACAATGAGATACCATCTCAGACCAGTTACAATGGCAATTATTTAAAAGTCAGGGAACAACAGATGCTGGCAAGGCTGTGGAGAAATAGGCACACTACTACACTGTTGGTGGGAGTGTAAATTAGTTTAACCATTGTGGAAGTCAGTGTGGCGATTCCTCAAGGATCTAGAACCAAAAATACCATTTGACTCAGCAATCCCATTACTGGGTATATACCCAAAGGATTATAAATCATTCTACTATAAAGACACATGCACACGTATATTTACTGCAGCACTATTTACAACAGCAAAGACTTGGAACCAACCCAAATGCCCTTTGATGATAGACTGGATAAAGAAAATAGGGCACATACACACCATGGAATACTATATACACCCATAAAAAAGAATGAGTTAAAGTCCTTTGCAGGGACATGGATGAAGCTGGAAGCCATCATTCTCAGCAAACTAACACAGAAACAGAAAACCAGACACCACATGCTATCACTCATAAGTGGTAGTTGAATGATGAGAACACAAAGACACAGGGAGGGGAACTCACACACTGGGGCCCGTGGTGGGGTAGGGGACAAGGAAAGGGAGAACATTAGTACAAATACCTAATGCATGTGGGGCTTAAAACCTAGATGATGGTTCATAGGTGTGGCAAATCACCATGGCACATGTATACCTATGTAACAAACCTGTGTGTTCTGCACGTGTATCCCAGAACTTTAAAAAAATTATAAATAAAATGGGCATTCCACCTGCTACCTAATAGAGTAGTTATGAGGACTGAACATCAGGTACTTAGCACCTCATTGAGAATGATTCCCTTAGAGGACAATGTTTACAATTCTGACCAAAATACTCAAAACACGTCTACTATGAAGTGCTAAGAAATTAAAAATGAATGGCAAGACAGATGGAAGCCTGCTTCAGAAAAATATTACTTGATAGAATACTCACGTAGTTTACAAAATATTCTATGCCTTCTGCCAGCAGCAAGCATCTACCTGGCAGTATGTGACAGAGAGTAGCATGTTTTCACCTCACAGTCTTCTCCACGTGGTTCCAGATAGGAGTCTTCACTAGGGAGAGCTGATGGTGACATGATCTACCATCAATGTCCCCTCTGTGATGTCAACGGGAACAACTGCTGTGATTCACAGTGAACCAATCTAGGCACATCGGGTTCCCTGCTCTTTCTCTTGGGAGGTACCACTTAATCTCACCCCAGTGTAGCATTAAAACAGAAACAGAGGGAATGAATCAACTGTCCTGCTTCCCATCAGTAGGTATCTTCACTGGGTTCCCTAAGGAAGTGCCTCGTGTGTTTCCTTGAACAAAAGGTGGCAGGACAGAGCCCTCAGCTCAATGGTACATCAAATAAACTCTGAAAGACTCCTGAGCCTAGACTTATGGACACATGGACAGAATATGGTCATTTCTTAGCTAGAGTTACAGAGAAAAAGCAACTTTGGCAGTTATGTTAGCTATATCTATCTCCCTTCACTTTTAACTTACAAATTTCATTTTCCAAAGAAGTAAAAATATATTGCAACCCATTTAGAAATTCACAAGGGAGTTCAAAAGAAAACTGCAGAAGTATCCCACTTAAACATAACTTCTGCTTCTATTTTCGTATATTTCTTTCAAGTTTTCATCCAAGGTACTTAAAAAAACAAACCAGTAACAATCACAGGGTGCCAACAGGTTTATACATTTATATAAAAATTATGACATCAGTATACCACATACTCATAATTATTGACAGGCTACCTATGAATTCATGCTATGTTTCATAATTAACGTGAACATTGCTCTGTTTTGGGGGAAACTGCTTCAAATATTCTGCTTTATCAGAATAGCAATGTCAGTGGTGTGGCTTTGAGCAGGTTATTTAACCTATCTGAGGTTCAGTTTTTCTCATAAAAAAGTAGGGATCAATAATATTAACCAGCAACATTAAAGTGTTGTGAAAGTTAAAAGCGAAAATGCACTTTAAGTATCTTGAAAAAATGTAGGCTGCTGTTGATGTCAATAGTGGATGATAGTGAAGTAATTTCTCACGGAGTTTTCTTGAAAGGAATCACATCTACATATAAGCAAAAAACAGTGAGGAGGGGAGGGAGGATCTGCTCTTTCATTTACACATGAGATTTCTTTGGGAACTGACATTCAGTGGGGAGACCTAACTCACCTCTACAGTGGGGGAACCAGATGTGGCCTCAGCAGGTCTCACGAGAGGTCAAGACAATCTTCCATTTTTGCGGGAGGGGAGTTACTGGCATATGTACAAAATGTTAAAAAAAAAAAAAAAAGTCTCGCTCATGCCTGTAATCCCAGCACTTTGGGAGGCCGAGGCGGGCGGATCATGAAGTCAGGAGATCAAGACCATCATGGCTAACACGGTGAAACCCCGTCTCTACTAAAAACACAAAAAATTAGCTGGGTGTGGTGATGGGTGCCTGTAGTCCCAGCTACTTGGGAGGCTGAGGCAGGAGAATGGTGTGAACCCAGGAGGCGGAGCTTGCAGTCAGCTGAGATCGCGCCACTGCACTCCAGCCTGGGCAACAGAGCGAGACTCCATCTCAAAAAAAAAAAAAAGTCTCAAAAATGGTAGTGAATTTTATTTTGTAAAAAATTCCTCCCTCTCTTCTTTCCATTTTGAACAACAATGCAAACTGGGCAGTCCTGAAACCAGAATAGGTGCAGAGAGACTCTAAAAAATTCCCTTGCAGTGTTTTTTCAATCTGCGTACTTAACCAAGTAACAGTTTAAGACCAAGGACACACAGAAGAATTAAAGCAACAAAATGACTTATGTGTGACTTATTTGTGACACAGGCACAGTAGTAACCTGTGCAATTCTGCCTCTGCCAGGGGATATTTGGCAATGTCTAGGGATATTTTTGGTTGTCAATTGTCACACCTTGGGCGCCTGTGGGGGTGTGTTATTGGCATCTAGCAGGTGGAGATCAGGGATGCCACTGAACATGCCACCCTGCACAGGACATCCTGGCCCAAAACATCAAGAGTGCTAAGGCTGAAAATTTCTGGTGTAAGAAAAACTTACAGGTAAAATTAAATCTGAGGCCCCTACGAATATTAACACTATGGACACTGGCTCTGTTTCCCGTACCCAGCCTCAGTCCCTGAAATGTAACATTTCCTTCCAGTAGTGGTTCCCAAAGGTGTTGTATGAGAAGATTCTATGTGTACACTGATGCAAGTTGTCAATTTTAATGACTGTATTAGTCTGTTCTCACACTGCTAAGAAAGACATACCCAACACTGGGTAATTTATCAGGAAAAAGAGGTTTAATGAACTCACAGTTCCACATGATTGGGGAAGCCTCACAATCACGGTGGAAGGTGGAGTAGGAGCAAAGGCACATCTTACATGGCGGCAGGCAAGAAAGCTTGTGCTGGGGAACCCCTCTTTATAAAACCATCAGATCTCATGAGACTTATTCACTATCACAAGAACAGCATGGGAAAAACCTGCCACCCATGATTCAGTTACCTCCCACTGGGTCCCTCCCACGACACATGGGGATTATGGGAGCTACAATTCAAGATGAGACTTGGGTGGGGACACAGCCAAACCATATCAATGACTATGTATGTAATTTTATTGATAGCAAATTAAACCTAGTTTTCATTTAGAATACTGCTATAGTTTTTTAGAAATAAATTTGAGAACTGAACTTATTAAAGGAAAAACATTATAACAATACAGGTGCCTTGCTTGAGGGAATGGATACTCCATTCTCCATGCTCTGATTATTTTGTACTGCATGCCTGTATCAAAACAACTCATGTACCCCATAAATATACATACCTACTAAATGCCCACAAAAATTAAAATTTTAAAACCCCAATACAGGTGCTGTTTCAATATGACAAAATACCTCCCCTGAAAAAGTGTTTCTGTGCTTACTTTGTGTTTTTATATAGATACTATTCACATTGGCTGTTTAACAGATTCAACTGGAGGCTGATGATGACGTGAGGTCAACAAACTTCTCCAAGCTCCAAAATGAAAAACAAAAGCATAGATCCACCATTTCCAAGGTTTCTTTTTCTGAAGAGAACTGTGCTTGTAACAATATATTCAGGGATTTCAGAACCATTGCATTAGGGAAGCGTTCTAAAGAGGGCAACTGATGTTGACTTTAGAACAGCAGGCAGAGTTCTGGAAAACACTCTGAAAAAGTGCTCATGTGGAAAAACAATTTCTCTGGATATGTGATTTTATTGAAAAAGGCTATAAACTAGGGCTACAGAGGGTTTACACACACACATACACACAGGTGCAACCTGAACTAAAATTAGCACTCAGTGAGAATAGATATGGGAAAAAAAATGTTGAATGGCAGAGTTCGAGGAGAGAAAAGCATATCAAACTGAGCTCCCTGAAAGATGAGCCTAAATCTACAAAGGATAAGCCTTTGTGAATCACCACGGCCCAGGATCAAGGTTAAGGATCCTTGCCCTTGAGGTGTTCTTGGATGATTTAAAATAAATGCTACTCATGAAAGTTTATCAAGGAGCAAGCAGAGTCACAGACTGCCTGGCCTCAGGGCCCCTGAACAGGACCCACAGCGCTCTGGCAAGCTAATTTAAAAGAACTGCAATTTTGCAGATACAATTCAATGATCTGAATGTCTAAGTATGAAATTAGGAGAGAGCTGCATGTGAGACTACAACTCAACTTGAAAAAAACTGTAATAATTAACACACTGTGTAAATCAAGAAAAAGTACATTCTAATCTTTTTTTTTTCCCCCAACTTTCATTTTAGATTCAGGGGGTCCATGTAGAGATTTGTCACCTGGACAAAATGTGTGATGCTGAGTTTGGGGTACTAATGAACCCATTGACCATGTACTGAGAATAGTTTTTCAATAGTTTTTCAAACCTTGCTCCCTCTCTCCCACCTGCCTCTAGTAGCCCTCAGTTTCTATGGTTGCCATTTTTTTGTCCATGAAGACCAATGTTTAGCTCCCACTTATAGGTGAGAACATGCAGTAATCTGGTTTTCTGTTTCTGTGTTAATTCGCTTAGGATAATGGCCTCCAGCTCCATATGTTGCTGCAAAGGATGTAATCTCATTCTTTTATGGCTGTGTAGTATTCAGTGGTATATATGCATCACATTCTTTTCATCAAATCCAGCACCGATGGGCACCCAGGTTGATTCCATGCCTTTGCTATTGTGAATAGTGCTGCAACAAACACACGAGTGTATGTGTCTTTATGGGAGAATGATTTCTTTTAGATATATACCCACCAATGGGATTGCTGGGTTGAATGGTAATTCTGTTTTAAGTTCCAGTAATCTCCAAACTGCTTTTCACAGTGATTGAACTAACTCATATTCCCACCAGCAGTATATAACCATTCCGTGTTCTCTGCAGCCTCGCCAGCATGTTGTTTTTTGACATTTTAATAACAGCCATTCTGACTGGTGTGAGATAGTATCTCACTGTGGTTTTAACTTGCATTTCTCTAATGATTAGTGCTGTCGAGTATTTTTTCATGTTTGTTGGCCCCTCATTACAACTTATCTTCATAAAACCCTTCTCCAGTTACAAGAGATTCAAGAAACTAGAATTCAGTGGATATTAATACATCAGTGTCAAGAGACATTAAAACATAGGTTTTAAGGTGCTTCTTTTTGAGCTCTTGCTCCTGGCTCCTTAGATCTTAGACCTTGGGCTCTGAAGTCAAAATGAGTATGAAACCCAGTTCTGCTTCTCAGTCTAAGGGCTCACATTCAGTCTTCTGTTTGTAAAAAGGGATTACCCATAACTAGGTATTGTTCTAGGTACAATTTTATGACGTGCTGGGTGGTCATGTCAACTACACATAGTGTATTGAGTCCCCTCTTTGACCACTTCCCCGCCCTCTAGCTCAGGGTATCAGGTCCCTGCAGGAGGCCAAGCTTGCACATGTGTGTGTGTGTCTGTAAGTGTGAACAGAGTCAACAATATCAATAATGTAATGGCTGGTAGACCGACTGAGAGCTGAAGGGCTGGAGTAGACATCCCAGCTCAATGCCAGTTACTTCCCTTTCTGGTCCCACTGCCCTAACCTCTTTCCTTCCACCTCTGTGGCTGCCCATCACTCCTCACCTTTTGGAAATATGATCCCTCCTCCTGAGAGCCCAGTTCTAGCCATCCCAACTATTTCTGCCCATGACTGTCAATCCTCCCTCTGAACTCCAGCTTTCAGCCTGCCAGGTGGTCCGTAACCACCCTTGTGCCCCAGACTCCCAGGGGTATGATACCCTCCCATCACTTACACTAGCTCACTACTGCAACCCCAGAGCAGGAAGGGCACCAGTGTAGTTTGAAAAGCTCCCTGACCCCCATAATGCGACACTTCTCTTATTCACTCATAGTGTTGTGAAAATGCTTTGACCTCTCTCTCTGAAATACTGGCTCTCTATCTGTGCACACTCTTTGATTAGGTGGAGATTCTGAAGGCAAAGACAGAATCTTACAAATCTCTGTCCACATAGTCTGGTCCCATGCACACAAGGTATATTTAATAGGTAATTGCTCATGGGCTGATTGATTAAAAAAAGTTCAGACTGACTCCCGTCACAGGTTCCTAAGAAGAAATATACCATGAAACTGAAGGCTACAGCTGGCTTCCTAATTAATATTAGTCACTTTGCAGTTCTTAATTAAGAACTCTAAAATAAAGACCCACCTTTCCACCATGCCAAGTGGGTATCACCTTCATTAGTATTTAAGTGATGTAGCCACAACTTCATTTTTATGCTCTTTTCTCTGCCCTGCCAGATGGGAACATTAGCTGCATAGTATTTATTAATATAATAAACAAAGACAAGTGCAGAAACTTGGGGAAATTCAGGCAGAATCCGTCACTTGTACTCTTTTACTGCAAGCTTTTCATGTAAGCTGAAGGAAGCCTTCTCTTGTCCTGCTCCTGAGAGGAAGTGAGCCAGACTGGACTTGGGAAGCAGACTCTCTCCCAGTCACCAACTGGGAAGAGCTTCTGTCTCGTGGGGTCTGGTTTGTCTTCACCAGGCCCGCCCCTACCCACTCTCATGATGGCCGGAGGCTCACCTATCCCTGCCTCACGAAAACAGTGGGGACTTTTTAAACTAGAAAAGATCTCAACAGAAAAATCTCACCATCCTCAAGATAATCATGCATTCACTGAAAGAAGCAAAGCGGTGTTCCTGTGACGGCAGGGTCCCCAGTGCGTTCTGATCGGGAAACCCACGACACGTTTCCAACTCTGTACAGAAGCATCAACCATGACTTGGTAAGGCTGCTACCTGCTTCAAGGCCCTGAAACAGGCATCACTGAGTGACCCACATCAATGTCCTGGTGGAAGTGTCCCCTGTCAGTCTCAAAAATGTCTTTGCCTGGCCAATAAATTATTTGCTCACCTTACTTATCAGGTAATGAGAAAGAAAGTGGACGGAAATCAAGACGAGGTGGGTGAATGGCATCAACAGGTTATACACACCCATCCTCTTGAGGGCCCATTCTGGTCTAAGGAGTAGGAGCAAGAGGTTGGGCTTTGAAGTCAACACAAGATTGAAATCAATCCAGTTCTTCTCATAGGCTGGTTGACTGGGGAAAGGGCTCAGACTCAGGCTTCCTGTTTGTGAAAAGGGATTACTCACAACTAACTACACTGCAGGGCTGTTGTGAACATTCGGTAACATACACAAAACACTGGGGCATGGTATTACAGCTGGCAAGAGATGGGATGGGCGCTCAGTGCATTTCAACCAATCCTTTTCCTTTTTTCTTTTTTTTTTTTTGAGACAAGGTCTCACTCCGTTGCCCAGGCTGGAGTGCCAATGATGCGATCAGGACTCAGTGCAGCCTCATCCTCCCAGGCTTAAGTGATCCTCCCATCTCGCCTCCTGAATAGCTGGGACTAAAGGTGCATGCCACCACGTCCAGCTAATTTGTTATTTTAAATTTTTTGTAGAGACAGGGTCTCCCTATGTTGTCTGGGCTGGTCTTGAACTCCTGGGATCAAGTGATCCTCCCACCTAGGCCTCCTGAGGAGCTGGGGCCACAGGTGCATGCCACCACACCTGGCTAACTTGTTTTTTTATGTTTTATAGACACAGATTCTCCCTATGTTGCCCAGGCTGGTCTTGAACTCTTGGCCTCCCAAAGTGCTGGGATTATGGGAATGCGCCACCATGCCTGATCAATCCTTTTCCTTTTCATAAGCACAATTCTAAAAAATGATCCAGTAAGCCTACTCGGGCTCTTCTGTGGCAATGTTGGCCTGTCTGGATGCACTGGGGAGGATGGAACAGTGGGTTAAATGCAGAGATTCTGGGGTCAGACAGATCAGAGTCTGAATCCCAACTCCTCTACCTCCTAGCTCTTTGTCTTTGGGGAAACTACTGAAGCTTCAGTTGCCACATCTGAAAAGGAGAAATGAAAATCCTAGTGGCCTGGTCTCATGGGGTGGCAACGCTTCACTGTAGACTTTTGGAAATCTATAGGGCAGTTCATGATCGATCTCATGTATGGGGGATTCTACTAGTATTTATTGAATGAAGGTTTGGATGCCAGATGTCTTTCATGAATAAGCCAGGCCTGGAGCATTGGGAGTGGTCTCCCAGGCTGCATACCTTCTCGATGTCCCAGTGGGTAGTCGTGGAAACGAAAATCCTGTTTACAAATATTTGTGCCTAGAACCTAAATCTGTTTTATATGTGAATGCAAAGCATTTTCTGGCCAGTAAGAATGTATACTGATATTCCTGTGCAAATGAGGTGAGACTGAATTTGGGGAACTTTTCTAAGAAGTATTCACCAATTTATAATATCACTTCACTGACAGGACGACCAGTTCTAGTGTGAGTAGCTAGAACATCACTTCGCTATCAGTCTGCAGTTACAGCTGTTAGATTCGCAGGATTTCTATGCACAGATGCAAATGTCTATTACTTCCCTCCGTTATAGCCAGAAACAAGTAACTTATATATTGAATGTACTCAACAGTCAATTCTATTCCCTTTATTTCTTCATTATGTTATAGTTGGGGAATTATAATGACTTTTAAAACAATTACGTGTAGAGTAGGTTATGTTAGCTACAAGATCTATTTCAGCATTGTAGTGGCATGACAAAAATGTTTGTAATGAAGGATCTGAGAGGTTGCAGAATCTTTCTCATAGAGTGAAGATTAAGAAGTAACAATTATTGGCCAGGCATGGTGGCTCACACCTGTAATCCCAGCACTTTGGGAGACCGAGGCAGGTGGATCACTTGAGGTTAGGAGTTCGAGACCAGCCTAACCAAAATGGTGAAACCCTGTCTCTACTAAATACAAAAAATCAGCCAGGCATGGATGGTGGTGCATGCCTGTAATCCCAGCTACTCAGGAGGCTGAGGCAGGAGAATCGCTTGAATCTGAGAGGCAGAGATTGCAGTGAGCCAAGATTGCGCCATTGCCCTCCGGCCTGGGCAACAAGAGTGAAACTCCATCTCAATACAAAAAAAAAAAAAAAAAAAAGAAGTAACCGAATTATGGTACTGACTGCGGAGTCCAGCACATATAGAAGCAACTGCCTAAGAAATGTTGGCTTCTCTGATGATCATTAATATTATCAGTAGCCACCCTTCTTTCCGCCTCCTGTTGCTTGACTAACTGCTAGTAGAAAATGAAATTTACTTTCTGCTTCTCCAGCTCCTCCATCCAGAGGCGAGACCAGCGATGTTGAAGGGCACTCTTCCTTGAGTTAGAGGGAGACTAATAACGTATGGCAAACCGCCCAGAAGGGAGAGAGATTTTTCCAAATAGCTCTGACACTCACAGAGGGTACTTCATTAGCCTGTCTATTACAAACCACTTACGACACATATTTATTGACAACAATCTGCCAATTGATTAAACATCTCAATATATGAAGCTGACTTTTCATTAATTAGCAGTTTGGAGAACATGATCCTAGAAGTTAGGGTGGATAGTTTTGAACATTCTTGCAACACTTTGATTTGCTTTGACCTTCTGTAAGAATATCAGCGCATTATAAAATCAAAGACTATGTCATCTTCCTCCATATCAGAACACATTATTCATACCACGTGCTAACATACTTATATGCTCACACTTCTCAGTAGATTCGATTTACCTTCTAATCAATTTAAGTCGTGTACCTAATACTTAATTTCTTTCGATATAAATCTTAAAAACATCACTGACCACATCATTTAACTTTCTGTGAAAGTGAGGTGTCAAGTTCACTTATTAGTTAGAATAAACAAACTGCAAGAAATTTTACACTTTAAACTCAATAAACAACTACATGAGAAAGGAAAGGCATTTGTTAATGCATGCTGTATATTTTTTCTCAACAAGAGACACAAATAATTGTTTTATATGACACATACGATTTTTTTACTTTGTAGTTGTTTTATAAGAAATGTGAACTTACAGGGAAAAAATATGGGGCAAAGTGCCCTGTAGTTTAGCCGAACATGAGAACCTTGGTTTATAATTAAGTTTTTGCCTCCCTCTCTCTCTCCTTTTTTTAAATTAATTCTTACTTTTCGTTCATTGTTTGACCTTCCAGTCAATCAATGTAGAATGAATTTCTTCTCCAACGGTGGGAAAAAAATTCTCCCTCAACCACACAAGCAGCAAGGTCCATGAAGAGAGATTTTTCACTTTTACAGCTTTGCTTGTGTGTTCAGGTCATTTTCATCCCTCCTCACTGTCCTCCATTCCTCATATATTCCTCAAATGCATCACTCTTGGCCACAGCACTATCAACACCGCTGCCATGGAGTGAAACTCAGGCTGTGTTCCTGTGTCTATCAGCTTGGAGTCTGCCTGGGAGCCTGCTAGACCTGCAGAGCTCTCCACACTTCAGTGTGCATAGGAATTGCCTGGGGACCCTGTGCACATGCAGATTCTGATGCGGTGGGTCTGGGGTGGGGCCTCAGACTCTGCATTTCTGACAAGTTACCAGGTGATATCGATGCTGCTGTTTGGGAGACCCTACTTGAGTATCAGATGTTTATGCTGCTGAACCGGCCCCTACCCTCCTTAACCTTTTGAACAGGACCGAACTGCCAATCTCTACCTGTGCCAAGAGGGGCTCTGTAAAGGTGCAGCTTCCTTTCTGCAGAACTAGGACAGGCAGGAGGCTCTGAGTCTGTTTAAACACAGAGGGCTTTCCTTTCTGGCTCAGGGGAGGGAGAATTGAGGTCACTGAATTACTGCATGGTAAGAATTAAAAGTATCAAGGAAAAGCTGGATGAAGCAAAGAAAAATGAGATTTAATAAATATAATTCCCCTAAAATTCCTTCCTTGGATGCAACAAAAAGTATCTGAAAATTCAACCCTAAATGTAATTGGAAAAGAATCTCAGGGACTGTAAAGCAGTTTCTTATAACATCATTCCTCCCTCAACCATACTTGTTCTGCTCTGGAACAATGGAATTTATGTATCTGTCATTACCTCTGTGTAAATTTTCCCTGAGAAATGACAGTATTTAGAGTGGTTCACGTGTCTCTAAAGGAAGTGGGGGAACTCACTGACCTGCTGCATCCACAGGTGACACTAAGGGGAAATTTCTGTGTCTGCCACCAGACAGTCCTGTATGATGAATAACGATTGAGCTGCAACATTAGACAAAACTTATTTTTTATACTGTTATAACAGCCACCCTCATTTAACAAGAAATTATAAATTACTTAACTCTCTTTGAGAAAAAAATGACTATTAAAAAATCCCACGGAATCCCCAAAAAAGTATTTATGGATGCTCTTTGTTTACTTTTTAAAGTTTTTAAATTTTTTTTTTTATTTTTTGAAAGGCGGCTTCTCACCATGTTGCTCAGGCTGGTCTCAAACTCCTGGGCTCAAGTGATCCTCCTGCATCGGCCTCTCAAAGTGCTGGGATTACAACAGGTGCAAGCCACCGCCCTGGCCTTTGTTTACTTATTTATTAAAGATTACTCTAGAATGCATGCTTGGAATATTGCCTGTATCATATCATATGTGTTGCTAAATAAAGCTACCCATTTCATAACTACACAAAATGATTAGGAAGTTTCCATCGTGTTCTTTACTCTGTGTTCTTTCTCCACTAATATTTGATCTTCTTCCTCCTCTTTTGACAAACTCACAATAGATTATCAGCCCTTCTAATGATCAAGGGTCTGTCGGCCTCTTTCTTATTCGTTCCAATGAGAGCTGGTGACAGCATCAATCTTGCGTCACACAGCTCCATGAAGTATCTGCCTGCCTTCATCTCTGTATCTCATTAATGGAACTGTTGATGGGAAGGAGTGAAATGATGCTCAAAGCTGGCATTAGCACAGCCGACTCCCAGACTGTCTCTTTGTGAGCCTGGCAGCTTTGTTCACACCATGACCCCACGCTACAGGTGCGTTTCATGATTCCTTCTGCAGTGGTCATGATCCATTTAATTGAAAATATTTCTTCCTGGGTGGTACTTGCTAGAAAGGCTTCACAAACCCAGGACACAGTATGAAGGCAAATTAGATAATCAAACTTAGATATTCTGAGAACACCTCCCAAATGTCATCTCCAATTTAATCAATGCCAGTCTTTTTGCTTTACATAGAAATAGCCAAGCTCAATCCCCTCTCTAACAGAAAGTAGCAACTAATTAACCACTTCTCTAAACCTTCTCACTGCGAGCAAGGGTTTGGGTAGATTTCACTCAGATCTCAGTTAACTCAGTCCAAAAGTTTCCTGGCTTAATCTGCATTGTTTTCAGTTTAAAAACATTTCTTTCTTATTTTATGGTTTTTCATTTTTCTCAGCAACAACAAACATCAACACATTTGGGTTCCAGGGTCCCTAAGGTTCCAATCGTAATCAGCATCCAACTGTCTGCTAGCAAACCATTTCTAATAATTAATTTGGCCATCACAGAGAAAACTGTCACGTTCCACAGGAGAGATGTGAAGGCAAGCTCTTGCATGACAGCTGCAATGTCATCAATTGGGGGGACGGTTCCGAGCGTGTCTCCAGAGGGAAGAATTCAGGGTGCTGAGATGATTTAAGCCACAAATAAGCCCAGGGCGCACTGGCACTGGGGCCTGTTAGCACGGCAGGGACATGGCCACATCTCAGAGAGTGCGCTTGTCCAGCGGTGGCCACCATCAGAACCTCGGCTGTGTGTTTCCATGAGCCTCACAAGGAGGGGAAACACGGCGTGACTTTTACCATGGGGGAAAAAATAATCACACAATTGGAGGAGGATCCCTGTACTGTGCCCTAGAACATCTTTAAACTCCAACTGGGCCACCACGACTTAACAAAAACTCCCTCATTTAAGTTTTGCCATTTTCATTTTAAAAGTGAAAAGTGTCACTCAATCATTATGCTTACAAGCCAGAAAAGAAAAAGAGGATTTTACCTGGTGGGACAATTCAGAATCCCACAGTCCTTTGTTTATACTGCTGGTCTTATGTTGCCAAGTGACAGCACATGGTAGGCCCAGGACTCCTTCCTTGCCCCAACTTCTTTGTCCCTAAGGAGTGCACACCTCTTGTTCCCATTCTAGGATCTTGTACCAAGCCACAGATAAGGCCAGCACAGAGGGGGCACCCCAGAAATGTTGATTTCATCCATTTTCAAGTTTGGATTGGTCTCGGTCATGGGGATGGGGGACAAGGGGACCTGATGTTCATGGCAAATGTGATTGATTCTGGAAGAGTCCGTAGAGTCCTGGAGCTCAGTGAAATTAGCTGCTGCCTTGACTGACAAGCTCTTCCACCTCCTCTCTCAGCATGGGCCCTACCCCAGAAAGCGGGTGTGGGAATGACCCAGTGCCTCTGTCTGTCATCATCTCACCACCATATAGCAACACTTGCATCATTATCTTTGTCTTCTAAAGTCAAGGAGAAAAAACATGACCTCACATGTTTTTTCAAAAAAAATATTTTTGGTCTTCCCTGGTACATACATGAGATCAACCAAAGCAAACCCCTATGAAGCAATAAACGATTTACCAGATTTAGAATTCTCCATAAACTACAGCAAAGAAATTGCTTTCTTAAACTGGATGAATAAGCTATTGAAAAAACAAGGCCTTTTAAAACTCTTTGATTGGGACTCCGTGCTGTCTTCTCCTCTAATTGAAGGTAACAGATACCTCCTTGGTTTATTAGTAATAAGTTGGACGTGTCTTACAAAACCCGAGAGACCTTTTAAAAAAAAGCTCCTAATTATGATTCAAAGATATCCACCAATCTGTGAGGAAAGTTATGGTTGAAAGCTGGCAAACTGCAGTGCCCCTGCATCCTATCACAACCACCATGCCCCACAACACCTGATTTTCCACGAATTCTTTCTACAGCAAACTGCTTGCTTCTACACAAACTCTTCTGTAAGAACCCTAAAGACAGGCCGAGTGTGGTGGCTCACACCTGTAATCCAAGCACTTTGAGAGGCCGAGATGGGCATATCACTTGAGCTCAGGGGTTTGAGACCAGACTGAGCAACATGGCAAAACCTCGTCTCTACCAAGAATACAAAAAAAAATAGCTGGGTGTGGTGGTGCACATCTGTACACGTCCTACCTCCTAGGGAGGCTGAGATGGGAGGATCTCTGAAGCCTGGGAGGCAGAGGTTGCAGTGAGCCAAGATCATGCCACTGCACTCCAGCCTGAGTGAGATCCCATCTCAAACAACAAAATTTAAAAAAAAACCCTGAAGACAAATATAAATGCAGATGGTCCTACTGGTTGGCTATTTATGGTACCTTTAGACTAGAGTTTCTCAGCCTTGGCACTGAGATGTTCTGGGTCAAATCATTCTTTGTTTTGGGGGGCTGTCCTGTGAACTGTAGGGTCTTTATCAGCACCCCCGGCTGTTACCCACTGGATATCAATAGCACCCCCACACCAGCTGTGGGAACCAAAGTGTCTCCAGAGAGCGCCAAGTGTCCCCAGCGGGAGTGGGGGTGTGTGTGAAATTGCTGTGGCTGGGAGTCATTGCTTTAGAGTTACAAATAAATGGACTTTTGGGTAGCTATGGAGAGCATCAGCCGAACATGGGAAACGAGTTGTCTCTATAGACCAATTTAAAAATCAGCACAGCTTAGGGTATGATGGCCCCTGGGTAGGAAAAAATGTTAATTTGTGCCTCCAAGAAAAAACAGAAATAAAATGCTTATTGTGTCCAACACCCATCCCCACCTGGGGAGAGGAAAAAAAAACATCCAGAGCTGTTACCCCAAGCTAGCTTTAGTCTTTCTTCTTATCATGGAAGAAAGGTTATTCAGCACTGGTGTGGTGAGACTGAGTCCTCAAGGAATGTTCTGGAATGCCTGAGTCCTATACAGTGACTATGTTGAGGTGGTGAGTCCCAGGTCACTGGGGGTATTCAAGCAGGGGCCAGACGACAACCAGCTCAGGGAGGCCGTGAAAAGGACTCCACCCAGGTCAAGAGTTTGGCCTAAGTGACCTCCACTGTCTTAACTCCACGATTCCATGGGCTTCTGTGTACTTTTCAATGCTCACACTCCTCAGAGTCCCTTCCAAAAAGGCAGTGACAAGCAGAGGGCATTTGTCCTGCCCTGGGTGGGTCAGGATCTCACAACCCCTGGACCCCGAAGGGTGACCGAGACCGATTGGACATCTACCTCCACCACTGATCACCACCTGGTTCGGAGCTATCTCCAACTGGTTTTCCCCTCCCAATTCCTAATTCTCATTAACCTGAAAGACAGATTACGGCAGTGCACGATCTCACACTGACGTTCAATCTGTCTTTTCCAGCATCCTCTATTTATCAGACAGCTTCCACCAAGTGAACCATGACTCCTCAGTCTTTGGCGAAGTACACCTTCACCAGGCAGTGCTGAAGTTTGGGAACAGCTAGAAGATTAACAGAGAAAGATTTATAGCAAGGCTTATTTAGATACATTTACAGACCAGAGCTAGCGCAAAGATGGCCCTGGGGCTACCGACTCTGTCTGGTGGGAGGAAACAGAAATTTCTTCTCTCCTGGCTAGAGAGAGCCCAGGCAGACAAAACACTTGCCCAGCAGTACTGCAAAAGTAATAGAGGCAAATGTTTTGTTACGCTGGCTTCAAAACAAGCCACAAGATTCCAAACAGTGGATGCGCAACCTTTTTTTCCTCAAACCATCCAAATGCATCTCCCGGTATTTGTTATAATTAAAACAGAATTGGAGCTATTCATAGGTATATAACTTTTTACACACGAGTAGAGTCCTGTATCACCTTACAATGGTTTTTTGAAAGAATATGTGATTTTCACACAAAAGTATATACTTTGTAGCAGCCTCATCCTTTTGCCTCTGCATCTTATGTTCTAGATTTTTTCTTACTGTGTCCAGTATATTAAATGCTGCTCAACTCCCATGGGATAAAAATGTACACAGAGGTGTCTTTCTATCCATTACCATTTGGCACAATTCCACCAAAAATCAAAGAATGTGGGGTCTGGAAGGGACCTTACAGGTCACCCAGTTACCTCAATTACCTAAGGAAATTGAGTCCATGGATGTTCGGTGATGTTCCTAAGATTTGCTAAGACTTAGCTGTGGCTAAGTAGAAACGACAGAAGCTGACTTTCTATAGTGATAGAAATTCTATCTAAATTTCTAACTTGTAAATTTCTACTTTTCATTTATTATAGCTCATTTTCTATCTTCAGGGCTGAAACATTTGCCTGGTTACTTTTACAGAACAACTACTTCAGAAAATTGTTTGGCAGTTTCTTACCAAGTTATTATATACCTATTCTATGACCCAGCCATTCTGCTTCTGGGAAGAAAACGGACGTCCATAAATGAATGTTCACAGCAGCTGTATTCGTAACAGCCTCCTACTGGAAATAACAATCATGCCCAATATAGGCAAATGAAATACACAAATTGTGGTATACATGTGCAATGGAATATTGGCTGCTTTTGCCAATATCCAAACCAAATTCTCCTGATGCAGCAATGAGAAGAGAAACTTCAATTTTCTTGAGTTATCACCTCTTGAATTATCATCTTTCTACTTTTCTTCTTCAGTCCATTCTCTATCCCTCTGCTAACCAACTATTTCATATCCTTTCCTCTCTCTGCAAAACTCTAATATGATAATACTTTCTCCTCCATCCTCCCTCTCAGCTAGCTGATAACCCTGCTTCGTATTTCACTGAGAAAACCGAAACACTCCAAAGAGAACTTCTGTCTGGTCCCCACACCCTTAGCAGCCTACCATGCTGCTACTATACATTCTGCCTTTTCCCCTGTCGCTGGGACTCTGGCCAAGGCCAGTCCCTCCACTGGCATTCAAGATCCCAATCCCTTTTCTCTGCAAAATGATACTGTCCCAGCAACTGGTCCTATCTCCTACCTCATTGTCCCCACTCTGTTAGCCAACTGCAATTACAAAAGACACATTGTGCTACTGCCTTTCTTAAAAACACCATTCCTTAACCCTACATCCTCTTCCAGCAATTGCAATTTATTTGCCTTCACTTGGAATAAACTCTTCAAGGGCTTATCCATGTTGTACCCATCACGGGTAAGCTTCTAGCCCCATTTCGTCACCAAAGCCAGCTCCTGGCCTTGCTAGGACCTCCACATCCTCAACTCCAAAGGCAACCTCTCCCTCTTAATGTTACTCCAGTCATCAACAGCAGTGGGCAAAGCGAACAACGTTTATCTTCTGGAGATACTCAACTCCCTTGGTTTCCAGGACACTGCGCCCTCTCGGTTTTCTTCATGACTGGCTGCTCCTCCTCAGTTTCCTGTGCTAGTCTCTTCTCTTGCTGCTGGTGCCTCCAGGCTTGGTGTATGAAGTACTTCTCTTCTTTTTATACTCACTTGCTAAGTGATCTCTTCCAGACTCATCATTATCAACCAACAACACATCTCTATCTCCAGCCAAGATCTCAATCCTGCCTCCAGATGCCTAGAGCCACCTGCCTACTGAATATCTCCACTTAGATATCTGGAGGCAGCTCACCTTTAACTATCCCCAAACTGCCCCCTCCTTCAAATCTGTTCACTCTCAATATTCCCCCATCTTAGTAATGCCAACATCATTCTTCAAGTCGCTCAGCTAAAATATAAAGTGAGCCCTGACTCCTCTCCTTCTCTCCCAACCTACATCCAATTCTTTGCCAAACTCTGTCCCTCTCCCGCTTCGAATAAATACCTAGCATTTTACGACTTCTCATCCTGTCTGTGGTTGGCACTCTGGGCCAAGCCACTTTCAGCTCTTGCCTGGATGATTGCAGTTGCCTCCTGTTTTCTGCGCTTCCCTTTTTACCTCCTTGTAGCAGTGATCATTTTGAAAAAATTACTCTGATCTTGTCACTCTTTTGCTTAAAACCCACCCAGGCTTTCGGGTCTCCTTGTGAACAAAGGCCAAACTCCTTCAAATGGTGCAGGAGACCTCCTATCTGATCTGTCTCCTAGCTCTCTCCTGTGTGAAGCTGCTTATCCCTGGGGGGCAGGGTGGGTGCACTTGCCAGTCCCACTGTCTGAAACATTCTTTCTCTAAATTTCTGCACATCCTTTAGGTCTCTGAGGTCTTCTTTGATCCGCTATAACTGCGCAATCTCCTTCCCTCACATCCCCTACCCCTCACATTCTTATCACCCACCATTGGGCACAATACACAGCCATCTGTTCACTGTTTGTCTCCCCACTAGACTCCAAACTGCATGAGGACAGGGATTCTGTATTTTATTCCCTTTTGTAAGAAACAGGCACTATAAATATTGGCTGAATAAATGAATGAATAATAAAAAAACGGCTATGCTTGTATTGAGTGGAACATGTTCCTTTATTTCCTGCAACCAAAGCATTACAGATAAACCACATTATTAACAAATTAGCTAGCTGAGGCCACTGCTCTCCAAGCCACCATAAGCAGTTTCAACTGCACCAAATCAAACCATGAAGAAATTCAATCTTGCCCCCACATGAAATAAAAAGAGCACTTTTATGATATCCACAGTTATCTGTTAATTCAGTAAACATTCATGAACATGCCACTGTGAGTGTAAACTAGTTAGACAGGAGGGATCAGGAGGTTGGACCAAAATGGGGTTTACGCAGGGGCCTGCCATCTACCAACCTGTGCAGCGGGGAATCTGCAGTGAACTTTGCTCCCCCATCCTGACTCCCTTAAGAGTGGACGCCGTGCTAGTTTATACTTGTCATTTTCCTAAGGATTTTTTTTTTTTTTTTAACTCATAAACCCACTGGAGTTTCAGTTCTGCGAAGTCTTTTCAGGCCATGATGTGTGATACTGGAGAATCCTTAGGCGGGGATGATCTGTGTAAGACACAAGACTCCCTGTTTTTTAGTTTTGTTCTTTTAGTAAACCTTAGGCCATGCTGGAAAAGCAGAGCATGGAAAACAGAGGGAACACACAGATAATCATAGGGCCCCATTATGAAGAGAAGCCATTCTAGGCATTATAAGAGTGAGCATTTAGATGACCGCGTAAACATGACTAGTAAAGCCACTTAAAATGAGAACTCAAGACCAAGCGCTGACTAACGGCAATTTTCTGCAATTAGTAATATGGATCCTCAAAAAAAAAAAAAGTGATTTTCCTAGCAGAGAGGAGAGTTGGATAGGAAGAATAAAGGAACACAAAGAACAGTACCCGCATCCCTAGACTCTGAACAATTAAAGCATGGGCACATCATTTCTTCCACACTGTTTCCAAAAAGACCAAAGGAGAAAAAAATCATCATCTGTTGCATTTTTATGGTACTTTCCAGCTTGTAAATCACCTGAACATACCTTGTCTTTTCTGCCCTGATAAAATTTGAGTGGTGGCCAGAAGATTGTAGCGATGTACTTTTTCATATATTTTGATTTAGATTTATATATTTTATAGGCAAAGAACTTGAAGTTAAGCTACTCTTCCAAAAAGGGTTCTATGGTCAATTAAGTTTGGGAAATGCTGCAAGCTGGGTCGGCTCCCTGGACACTCATGATGTACAACTGCATATCAGAAAACAGTCTCGCCAAGGTTTCCAAGCTCATTTGAACGTAATGCCTTTTTTTCGCGCGCATGTGTGTAGTACCTTTTAACATCCTTGTGTCTTACGCAGATCATCCCCGCCAAAAGATTCTGCAATATCACACATCGTGGCCTCAAAAGACTTTGCAGAACTGAAACCCCAGTGGGTTTATGAGTTCAAAAAAAATCCTTAGGAAAATGACAAGTATAAACTAGCACGGCATCTGCTGTAAAGTAGTCAATCACCGAGTGTTAGTTTCTTTGCTTCCGCACAAGGACAGGGGCCCCAAGGTGTCCTCACAGGGGGCTCTTTGAGAGGTTCGTTTTGGATGAGATGAGACTGTGTTCTCGGAGATGGTAATGGATGCCCAGAGGCTAGCATATACAGAGGCTTTGCAAACCCTAAGCTAAACCATGACACACGTGTCATTAAAATACACACAGCTCAATCTCGTCCATATAACAGCTTCTGAAATGCGAGGAGGCCTGGCGGGAATGGTGGGGTGCACGGAGGAGGGCCGCGCTAGACGAGAAAATTCTACAACAGAGCATTAACTCAAACACCTTATGGTTTTCACAACTTAAAGAATGGATGTAGACTTCAGTGGATAATTCATGCTTATTAAATATGTGTGAAATTATTGTGATTCATCTTCCTCCTGTGTTTTAAATGACTTTGTAAAACCCAGACTTGGCATCAACAGAAATAACATAATGCAGTGTAAAATGATCTCATTATTAAAAGTATCCTTTAATGCAAAACAATCTCGGACAGTTATTTCGTTGTGATCCTGAAGGACTTCTTTCCTGTTGACGAGTGGTAATGTATGGGGTAAATTATTTCTTGGATATCATGTAAATGGAACTTCTGAACTCATTATGTATAAATTATTAAGTTATAAAACACCACTGCTAATAAAACTGTGGCTACAGTGAGAAGTGTGATCAAAATCACACGTGACTCCGGCCTATTAAACAATAACGTATTAATCCATAAAGCTGAAAGCAGCTTATCCAGTTACTATAATTAAAATATGCTTCACTACTAATTGCCTTACCAATCCTTAAATTTCCCTCAAACCATTTTCAAACGATGGCAAAACAGCAGCCCTTACTATTATATCTTCTAATACTGGTGAAGTAAGAGAACCCTTGTAATAAAGAACCTTTTATCTCTGTTCTAAGGCAATCCTATTGATTAGTATTAAATTATAGCTGGCAAAATATTTTGGTACAATTAATGCGGGTTTAAAGGTAGAAACAAATCTATGCACAGAACTGGAGGGGAATAACAATGTTTCACATATTTCTGCCAACATATTAACTAATACAGCAAAAGGGATCCTTGATATGTCATTTGTTGACTGATGAGAGCACAGAGCTGAGACTCGGGCATGAAATTTTATTGCCAAAGACATTTTCATCTGCAGCCAAATCACCAGGGAAACACTTTGTCAAACAACTTCATTCTGCATGGAGACTTTGTGACAATATTGGCATCCTAAGAATTTGTTCAGGTTTTTCCTATTGCATCTATCTGTCTGTGCCTGGAAATATTTACAGCAACACCGCAATTCAAGCGGACATTTGGTTTAGCACCTAGAAACAACCCAGCCAGCTCATGTTTTATCTCACCAGCGAGCTTCAAATAAATGCTCAGAAGTTGTATGCTTTTTAATATAAATGAGACAATATATTTTAGAAAGGTTTCATATCAAAATTCCATTTCATATTAATGGGAACCGATCTAGCATTGGGTATCTACAAAGTTATGGGCCAAAGTTTCCAAAGTTTCTTTAGAAGTACCCAATCTTTCTGCCTGAGTTTAAACCAGAAAATCAGAAAAATTATGACAGGGGAAGAGAGGGAAGGAAAAGGAGAAAGAAGGAAGGAGAGGGAGAGAAAGAGGATAAATGCTGGACTCTGGTCATTTAGAATTGCATTTTTAATTTTAGATCCTGTATTTATTTTGCCTGTGGTGGGAGCATAACCCCGAGAAACAACCCTTGATATTTCACACCTCCTCTTATCTAATCATCACTTAGGTGCTGCCAAATTCTCAACCCTAAGTAACTTTGTTAACCTCTTCATCATCCCCCTGGTCTGAGTTTCCACTGTCTCTCATCTGGCTCCTGAAATAGCCTAGCAACCGGCCTCTCCACCTCATTCTATGCACAGAGTCTAAAGCAATCTTTTCAAAAAGTCAATCTGATCACACCCCTGCCCTTTCACATTTGCTACTAGAGGATAAAAATCCTGAACATGGGCCACTGGGCCTGGAATAAGGTAGCCCCTGCTTGCATTCTGACCTTCCCTGGGACCACTGGTGACTACTCCAAGCATAGTCAATTTCTCAAATGGGCCTTACCCCCTGCTGCCACAGGGCCTTCGCATGTGTGCTTTTCTCTGCTGGGAATGCCTTCCAGGCTCACACCCGGATGGTACCTGCCTTCTCATTCCTTCACCTGGTTAGCTCCTGCCCCTCTTCAGGGGTTCAGCTGGCTGTTGGGTCCCCTGTTACAAGCTCTCATAGCACAGCCTGATTCACCATGCTTTGAGCTTACATCTATTTATGAAGCTCCCTGTCTTCAGGCACCACTGAATCCCTTAGCCAAGGGCCTGTCATAAACATGAAACAGGTTCTGAGGCAATGCTGCGACTGAAAGAATGGAATTGAACAATGGGTCCTCCCACAGCATTATTATTAGGGAAGAAGGCTTGTAGTATCATTGTTCCCACCATGGCCACCATTAAAGTCAGGCTCTACGTCAGGAAAACTAGCTAATGCATGTTGTGCTTAATACTCAGGTGATGGGTTGACAGGTGCAGCAGTCCACCATGGCACACGTTTACCTATGTAACAAACCTGCACTTCCTGCCCATGTACCCTGGAACTTAAAATGAAATAAAATAAACACTCAGGCTCTAGGATCACAAATGGAATCACCTGACAACACTACAGTCCACCAACTAATTGGTTATGTTTTCAGGTTGTTTGTTTCCTCAAAGCAGATTGAAGACTTTAAAAAGTTTCAGCCTGGCCAACATGGTGGAAACCCATCTCTACTAAAAATACAAAAAATTAACCGGGCGTGGTGACAGGCACCTGTAGTCCCAGCTACTCGGGAGGCTGAGGCAGAAGACTCGTATGAACCCAAGAGGCGGAGGTTGCAGTAAGCCGAGACTGTGCCACTGCACTCCAGCGTGGGCAACAGGGTGAGACTTTATCTCAAAAAAAAAAAAAAAAATTAAAAAGGTTATTCACACACCCACACTCACATCTGCATATGGAATTGGTTGTTGTAAGTACATCTTTATTAGGACAAGCACACAGCCAGGGCTTGGGTGGGCCCATTAATGAACCTGGCTCTCTGAAACTCTCAGGCCAGATTTCCATTGCCAACAACAGCCCCTGCCTTCCCAGAATGTGACTTGGAGCCTGAAAGCCTGGGTAATTCTTCAACTTCTGCTACTACCCAGGGATATTCATCCCAGGTTCACATCCAGTAGCAGTCGTGCCCACTTTCACAGCAGACCGACTTCCCATCCAGGCAGGAGAGCAGGAAGGCACGGGCTGGGTTGTACAGTTTGGCTCTGAGCAGGGTAAGGCATCAGAAACCTGATCCATGTAGCAGAGCGGGCAGCAGGGCCTGGAACCTGGCCCAGGACCCTCTGACAAGCTGGCTGCTCCAAGTGTGAAAAGTGTCCCACAGGATTCCTTTTAGCGCTGACAATCTAAGATTCAGCTAACTTTCATAAACTTGGTATTACAGGTTTATAAAAACATCCTGCTGCTCTTGATTTTTTTAGGATATGGAAACAGAGATGGAATTGATAACAGGCAGCAGTCTGATTTCAGTC
Organism: Homo sapiens; assembly: GCF_000001405.40. Classification (NCBI taxonomy): domain Eukaryota; kingdom Metazoa; phylum Chordata; class Mammalia; order Primates; family Hominidae; genus Homo; species Homo sapiens. Next base: position 16,642,122 of record NC_000010.11, read on the forward strand.
TGATTCTGATTTTCTCTGTCACCTGACGCATCACCTGATAGAGAGGAATACTGAAATCCACTTTCTCTGTAATAACGTTACTGAAAAAAACAGTGAGATGAGCTAAGGCAGGCAGGTAGGGAGGAGGAAAAGAGGCAAGGGACATGGTAATAAATGTATGCAAAACCAAACAGGATAATCCAGAGAAGCTGTAGAAAAACAACGTGCTGCTCTGCGGAGACCCACAGAGGGCATCTTGCAGGCAGAAACTGCACCAATGCCAGCTTCTCACCTTGGACTCTGGTTAGCAATAGGAATCTATTACCAGTGATAGATTTTTGAGTCTCTAACCTTTCCTATCAGTGATTTTTCATAGACTGTCTGCTGCATGCTGGGGGAAGAGCCACTTTCGTCTTAAGTTTTTTGGCCATTAATGATATCCAGGATGGCATGTCTTTTAATATGGTAGGTAAACAAAGAAACATCATGCTTGGCGTTATGTAAAATTAGAGCATTATTCTTAAAATTCAATTTGTAACATTCTCTTCTAGTCATACAGATAAATATTCTCTAAATGGACCCTGAAATCATATATTATGTATGTAAAAGCACTAATCTTAAACCTATTTCCAAAAGACTAACCACCGCATCAAACAAAATCCTTGTAAATTCCGTTTTGAATTTATGCATACTTCTTCGCCAGTCTCAACCTTTCCAATAGTTATGCATTCCTTTGCCTTCTAAAAGCCAGGTTTATTGAAGTATAATTTATGTACAGTAAAATTTCATGCTTATTCTTTAAATAACAAGTCAAAACAAAAAACTACCAATGCTTATAATTAAAATGTTAATTTTAAGAGGTGAAATGTTAACAAGTCCTTTTTGATAAGTACAAGTGTTTACTGCTTACTTTACTTAGGAGACAAAAAAAATTAATATTTTCATAATGATGGGATTTGTAAAACAGCACGGCTATGTAGAGATATCACCTTGAAGGACAGTTGTGAATCTGTACAGAACTAGTTTATTTAATAATCATAATACAGTATATGAACTCAGTAATGCCCAGCTATGGGGGTGATATGGATTTGTCTGGATGACTTCAAACACATAAATAACAATTTATAGAAGAGCATGGAAGATGTGATCTGTTACTGAGACATGAAATACCATCATTGCCTTAAAAATGATAGCTACCCTTTGCTTCAATGATTCCTAGTAGATACTTTGAAGATGTAAAAGTTATTTTCAGTACATAAATAATGCTCATACATTAAAAAATTGGCTAGATTATTAACTTAGTACTTTGTGGGCAGAAGCTTTATTTATAATAATGAATGCATGACTTAAAATATATAAATTATATATTACATACAAAATTAGGTTAGAAACAAGTATATTGGAACTCTTATTGCCTTACTTCTCCTCCTTCCAAGAATTAAAATGACAAACACCTTGTATTTCATATTCACTCTCACTCACATAACATAAAGTGAGCAGTATGCAAAACAGCCCATAGAGTTACCTATCTGCCTTTATTAACTCTGTGATCTTGGGAAAGTTAGCTAACTTTTCTGTGTCTCAGTTTCCAAATCTACATAACAGACTTGGAACATGGTTCTCCAAATGCGCATACTAAGAGCACCTGCCTTAAAGGGTCGCTGTTAAGGCTAAAGTAGAGAATGCAAGTATATTCAGCCCTTCATGTCTGCAAGCCCAGTCAACTCCAAATAAAAAAAATACTCAAAGAAAAAACAATGGATGGCTGCGTCTGTACTGAACAAGTGAAGATTTTTTTTTTTAAAAAAACTTGTCATTATTCTCTAACCAATACAGTGTAACAACTATTTACATAACGTTGACATCATATTGGGTATTACAAGTAATCCAGAGATGATTTCAAGTATAGGGGAGGATGTGCATAGGTTACATGCAAATACACCATTTTATTTCAGGGACTTAAGCATCTGCAGATTTTGGTATTGTAAGGTGGGCAGAGGGTGGTGGGGGGGGGTCCTAGAACCAATCCCCTATGGTTACTGAAGAGTGATTATATAGTCCCTAGAGCTGTATTTGGCACCTGCAAAGCTGTCAATAACTATAAGCTGAGGCAATTCCTATCTACAACTCACTACTATGCTCCCCAATGAAAATGACTTACAAATTATATAGGAAGTTCATGTTTTCAAAGTGAGTCATCTCCACAACAAACATGTTTCTCGATAGTCTGAGGGATCTGAATTTAAACACTCCCCTTTCCTACCCTAAGGAGACATAACCACAAATACGGTGATTACACATTACGTGAGTGGCATTTCCCACGTGCCAGATACCTGGCTGTGTGTGTTTTTCTGCACTATCTTATTATTCTTCAAAGTAGTGCTTGGATATATGTGCTATAACAGACTTTACATGTTACGGAAGAGGAAATTGAGCCCTAAGAGAACTTAAAGGTCTTGCTCAAGGTCATACAGCTAAAAAGTAGTGACTCTAGAACAGAAACCAGGCTCTGGGTCTCCCAGACCTGTGGCATTAACTGCCACACATAGCGCAGTGTTCTGATTTTGCCCGCTAAATGGATCTGCAGAAAGAAGAAAAGGAAAGGGAATATTTATGGTGAACAGGAGAGCAATATTCATAGCAGGAGGAAGTAAGAGTGAACATTTTCTCAATCCTATTAATAAAAGTGATCTGATAAGCAAAAATGTGTATTGTGACAGGTTAAATTACATTTAAGAAAACACCAGTACAAATAATTGAGATTTAATTATTTCATGGCATTTCTGCAATCACCTATTTTTTCATGAAAGCATTCCAGAAAACCCTATATTCCTGGTCTAATTTTATCTGCAAGAAAATGAAATCAAGGAAATTGTATGATAATATTTAATAGCTCTGATTTCTCAACACGCTTCCTCATATATCTTAAAGGGGGGAAAAAGCAGTCTTGTTGGAATGGGTCCAGAAGTTTCAAGATACAAATATATTTTTCCTTAAGCCATTAAACACCATAACCAATGGGCAAAATCATTTTATATGGCTTTCTAAAATATCATGTCAGAGTTGCAAATTTCGTAAACATAAATAAGGATTTGGGCTAGCAAGGTTGGTGAAGGTCACTTCTACTCTCATCTTTTAAACCATATCTTGGAGAGTTTTTAAAATGCAGAAGTATTCATTCTAGGTGAGATTTAGTACCAAAGGTGGTTTTGTTTGTTTGCATGTTTCCCAAAAGCTCATCTTTTCCTCCAAAATGTCATAGAAGATATCAGAAAAAGAATGAATCATAATAATGAAAAATCCTGAAAATCCAAACATTTCATTGGAAAATAAACTTTTCCAAAAGAAAAAATTTCTTTCATGTATGCAACAGACCTAGGATAGTCACTTCATCTCTCATAAATCAAAGATTACAAGTCACAATGTGGCTGGGTGCGGTGGCTCACGCTGTAATCCCAGCACTTTGGGAAGCTGAGGCGGGCGGATCGCTTGAGCTCAGGAGTTCAGGACCAGGCTGGGCAACATGGCAAAACCTCATCTCTACTAAAAACACAAAAATTAGCCAGGCGTGTGGCGCACACCTGTAATCCCAACTACTTGGGAGGCTGAGGCAGGAGAATCACTTGAACTCGGGAGGCGGAGGTTGCAGTAAGCCGAGATCACGCCACTGCACTCCAGCCTGGACGACAGAGCGAGACTCTGTCACAAAAAAAACAACAAAAACAAGTCACATTTTGTCTAGAAGGTTTTAAAATATATACGTATATATACATATATGTGTATATACATATATGTATATACACATATATGTATATATATGTGTATATACACATATGTGTATATATATGTGTATATACATATATGTGTATATATATGTGTATATACATATATGTGTATATATATGTGTATATACATATATGTGTATATATATGTGTATATACATATATGTGTATATATATATACACACACACACACACACACACACACACATACATATATAAATGTGCATTCAAAACAGAAACCACAACTACAACAAAAGCAACAGCAAGAAAGCAGTTTCTGGAACCACTGGGCACAGCTCTCATTCTGGTGTTTTGTGATATCCCACCCCTTCTGAGTGATAGGAGAAAGCCCGTTCCCCATTTGGGAGGGTTTCAGTAAAGGAGAAAGACACCAGGTCAGGAACGCTGTGTTCAACTGTGGCCTCAAACATCTTAACTGTCAAGAATCAAGACTCAAAACAGCCCCTGCTCACTATCCGTACAGTCAGGAGCCGTGGTTTATTCATCCTGGTATCCTCCTTCTTGGTTCAATGACTGAAACATCATTGTTTACAGATGAACCATCACCTCCTCTCTGACTCTTTTGCCCCGATCAAGTCCCTTCTCTCCAGCAGAATCAAACCCTTCCACCCTGATGTTCCCATTGGTCCCCGCACACACTTCCATCGTAGCTCCCCGAACACTTTATTTCATATATTTAAAGTGTTTTTTTCCTTCCTCCTACCCTGTATGTCACCGAGGCAGGGCCTCAAGCTCCTTCCAGCTCCAGGGGTTACTACATGGCACATGTCAGTCAATACTTCTGAGTAACAGTCTCAAAGATACCATGGTGGCAAGCATTAGCTTGCAAGGCATTGTAACTAATAATATTAAAATATGTGAGTAAGCACATGGATAAGATGTCCAGCATCAAAGCCGTTAGGGAAATGCAAATCAAAACCACAACGAGACATCACACTGGTGTGAAATGAGGCTGGAATCAACACGCAAACCAAAACCACAATGAGATAGCATTTCATACCAGTGGGTGTGAAATGGGGCTGGAACCAAAATGTCAGATGGTAACATGTGTTGGCCAGGATGTGGAGGTACTGCAACTTTTTTTTTTTTTTTTGAGATGGAGTCTCTCTCTGTCTCCAGGCTGGAGTGCAGTGGTGTGATCTCGGCTCACTGCAACCTCCGCCTCCCAGGTTCAAGCGATTCTCCTGCCTCAGCCTCCTGAGTAGCTAACATATGCGTGCCAATGCACCCAGCTCATTTTTTATATTTTAAGTAGAGATGGAGTTTCACCATGTTGGCCAGGATAGCCTCAATCTCCTGACCTCGTGATCTACACGCCTCGGCCTCCCAAAGTGTTGGGATTACTGGTGTGAGCCACCGCGCCCAGCCCGTACTGGAACTTTCACACATTGTGGATAGGTATGTAAAGTGGTTGCAGGTGCTTTGGAAAAGAGTCTGGCTGCTCCTCAAACGGTTAAACATAGTTACCATTTGACCCGGCAATTCCACTCCTAGGTACACGCCCAAGACAAATGAAAACGTATGTCCATGCAAAAACTTGTACGGAAATGTTCACAGAAGCATTACTCATAATAGCCAGAATAACCCAAATATCCATCAATTTGTGAATGGACAAAGAAACATGGTAAAACCATATAGTATGATGTTATTCAGACATAAAAAGGAATTAAGTACTAACATATGGTATGACTCCATTTATATGAAATGTCCAGAACAGGCAAATGTAGAGAGACAGAGAGTAGATGAGTGGTTGCCAAGGGCTGGGGGAAGAGAAGTTGGCGGTGATGCTAAGGGTTGTGGCATCTTCTGGGGGGATTATAAAATGTTCTATAATTGACTGTAGGGATGAATGCTAACTGTATGAATATATAAAAAGCTACTGAAGTGCACATTTTGAATGAGTGAATTGTATGGGATGTGAATTTTATCTCAATAAAGCTATTTAAAAAAAACTCCACCACCACATGAGCTCTTTGGCATCTGACTATTCTTTGACTGGCACATAGGCAGGAATTGGGATGACTGCTAAACTGTGTGCTTTCTTCTTTTTCTTGTTTTTCTTTGAGACAAGGTTTTGCTCTGTCACCCAGGCTGGAGTGTGGTGGCCTGCTCAGGGCTCACTGCAGCCTTGACCTGCTGGGTTTAAGCAATCCTCCTACCTCAGCCTCCCAAGTAGCTGAGACTACAGTCATGAGCCATTGTGCCTGGCTAATTTAAAAAAAAAAAAAATTTTTTTTTTTTTTTAAGAGACTAGGTCTCACTATGTTGCCTAGGCTGGTCTTGAACTCCTGGGCTCAAGCCATCCTCCTGCCTCCACTTCCTAAAGTGCTGGGATTACAGGCACTAGCCTCCACACCTAGCGTTACGTGCTTTCTTCTGAATGAAGTGTCTTTGAATCACTTTTGTCTTCCATCTCACAAAGAATGATCATTTTGGGGAAACTAAGGCAGTTCAAAGGCAGCTCAATCAACCAAAGTCAGATAACCTGATTTCTCAAATGCTAATGTGCTGACTCTGGGCAGAGAGCTTATTGCTTTTCTCCTTCACATTGCCTACGAAGATAGGTCAAAGTTTGCTACGAGCCTCCACATTTGAGAGAGAGGAGGAGAAGCTGTAGTCTACAGTTAGCCAAGTCTATGGCTTGTTTGAAAGGGCAGGAAGGGGACAACAGTGAAGAAGGGAGATGAACAGATGGCTAAAGTAAACAATGGGAATTCATTTTTTTTCTAAAATCAAATGGGAAATTCAATTATTCACTATTCTACTTGAAAGCACTGCTTTCCAGAAAATTAAATGTACCTGGACTATATTCAGAAGATTTAGAACAAAGAGCTGCCAGCTTTCACAGTTTATTGTTGAAAACCAAGATACTTTAAATAAATAAATAAATAAATAAATAAATAAATAAATAGCTTTGCTTTACTATTAAGAACAGGAAACCGTGGGCTGTAAAATGTTAAACAGTTTACCCAAGTCACAACTATAAAAGCATTAGTATAAAAGTCATTAGCAGATGACTTTAGGATTTCATTTATTTATAAAGAAAGACTTCTGTGGTATATTCACTTTCCTCTTTCCAGTAGATACTCTATAAAATGATTCCGTTCTGAGACTTTTAAATGGTTAGGAAAAATCCATTTAACTATTTCCCTTAAAATTCACAAGAACTTTATGAGCTTGCTTATTAATCAAAGATTTAAACAATCTCATCTTTATTTTAATTTATTTTTTGAACCATCAATGCAGTCTTAACTTAAAAAGGTTTTCATTCTCTTTATTTAGAAGCAAGACAAATACCCTAACAAAATGCAGATTAGAAATGGCTCTTATGAATCACGAAGGCATATTCAGCATGTATGAAAACGAGGAATTAAATCAGTCTCCTTCTCAGAGATATGCATCTTATTTCATTATCCAAACAATTGGAGTAGCTTATTTATCCAAATCAAGTAACACAATTAAAAAGAAAAAGCATATTCAAAGGGGAAAATCTTATCAGTCTTTAAAAGAGAAATATTGTACCTGACAGCTTTGTAACTCCTAAGAGGTACTCGAAATCAGACTACTAAAAAAAGACAAAAGCAAATAAAAATTGTAACTTTGCAATATGGAAGGGGCACACACAAAACAGAAAATGAACTCAAATGCCCTGTTACTACCTTGCAAATCAGCGACAAAACTGCCAAAGAGGAAAATCATTATCTTCAATTTTCCCTATTAAGTTCTTTATAGGCACGTGATTTTTCTAGGGGGCACACGGCACAACAGAACTATTTACTGAATTTAGTATAAAAATTCTCCGTACAAAAAATTCAACCATCTTCACAAATCACTAATGTGTGTTAATGTCCAAATTTTACCAGAAATGACTCCTGTAATCTTGTTTGAAATGAGATTTCATAAGAGACATAAGGAGATTTAATTTTTGGGGGAAAAAACCCCACCATTCATACAGCAATAAAGTCCCAATTTATCACTGTGAAAAACCAGGCCCTAACACTACACTAGGACTTTTGTTTAAAACCAAAAGTAAACACATCTTGCCATCTAAAACTCTTCAAATTCCACTCCTTCCCAAGGAACTTTTAGAACTAGGCATTTCTCATCACTGACAAACACAGTTGTAGAGCGCTTTGTAAAATTACACACATGTAATTATCTCATTTATTTTGACAATAATTCTCTCTTTCCCTCAGGCTCAATCTGTAAGAATGGAATCACGCTAACAGAAAGCTAAATTAAAAGATGCAGGCATGTCCATTCTGTAAAAGCTGAGACTATCTCTAGCTCACTGAGAGGTTATTTTTAAAATTCTGTATATTTGCAGACACGTCAAAAGGTTGACAGGAGGAGGCAGGTTCATGGGGTCTCATTAATCACCTTTCTATTATAACAGAAGTTTAAGTGAAGATTATACAGTAGCATAGTTAAGCACACTTCCAACAACATTTTTCTTCCTCCTCAAAATAGCGCTGACCTATTGTTACATTTATCAAACCTGCCACACAGTAGGTCCTCCATAAATGTTCACTGTTATTCATAAAGACAATGATAAAGGCATCTTTTGAGAAGAGACTTACAAGTAGACAGGCAAAGAAAAGAAAGAGGCAGAAGAACAAGAAGCAGATCTAACTAAAACTGGAAGTCAGCACTAATAAGGAGTCCTGAAAAGCTTTTTTTTTTTTTTTTTTTGTGAGACAGAATCTCCCTCTGTCTCCCAGGCTGGAATACAGTGGCACAATCTCGGCTCACTGCAAGCTCCGCCTCCTGGGTTCACGCCATTCTCCTGCCTCAGCCTCCTGAGTAGCTGGGACTACAGGCGCCCGCCACCACACCCGGCTACTTTTTTTTTTATTTTTAGCAGAGATGAGGTTTCACCGTGTTAACCAGGATGGTCTTGATCTCCTGACCTCGTGATCTGCCTGCCTTGGCCTCCCAAAGTGCTGGGATTACAGGCGTGAGCCACTGCACCTGGCTGAAAAACTTTCAATGTTTTTATCCAAAAAGAGAAAGCAGGAGTTTTTCATAATGTATATTTCATTCATGTTTTTAATATTTATAACGGATGCACACAATTTACGAACAAAAATGTGGAGTATGGAATTTAGATTTGATTTACTTGAATCATCTTTATTAGATAAATTAATTTTTATTGTCACATATTCAAGATGATCTGCACATGAATTTTTACTATGAAATAGTTTAAAACTTTAAATGCCATATGCATCAACGTTTTTACTACTGAGCTATGATGTTCCTTTTTATGTATTTATAAAGCTTATTTTTCAAGCTCATGTCAAACAAGGCATACAGGATTGAATCAATGATATGAAGCAACCTCTTTATTCTCTTGTTTCTAGGTTAAAAGGTGTTCTGTGTTTAATGATGAAACTTATTCATTTATTTTGCCAACTTTTCATCTAAAATTTATTCAAGGAAGTGTCAGTTCAAATGTACTTTGTTTGAAAGAAAAATGTCAAATGCTCACCCTTGAAGATTTTATTTTTTTACCTTAGTGTAGCATAAGCAGATAAATTCTCAGTGTCACCACTGCTGGGTTTCCCTGCTATTTTTATTTTCCACTGACAGAATATTCAAAGCTGACAAATGTTGTAGAAAAGACTTAGTTATTAAAAGCTTCAATTTACAGCAAATAGTGACAGTTTCTTTTGCTCCTCATAAAGCAAAATCGAAGAGGTGTAAATATACAAGGCAAGGTAGAACAAACACACTTTGCATACTTTCAAAAACAGTTCTAATAAGTAGTGCTCATTTGCAATATTACTCTAAAGGTACTAGTTTAGGTCTTGATTCAAAGAATAAAAATTGAATTATGGCTGACAAATCTCAATAGTACTTTAAAAGCTTGACTTACAGATAGCTTTTATACCTAATGAAGCCTTTAAAAAATAACAAATAACTGACTTAAAATAACAGACATAGTTTAAACTAATGTAACACTATGTGTTTGCCAAGAGGAAAACAAAATAAAGTAAGTAAATGAAATATTTATTTCTACTTCAAAGAAATGGCTGGTTTGGTATTGAGTTAAATTTCCTAAATATCTCAAAATTGACAGTAACTCAGACTTTTACATTTTACTAAATTTGGGGGAGGAGAGAGCACATTTATGTACGCAAAAACTATGTAAATTCTGAGTGGTGCAGGGGGAGAGTAAAAACATTTCAGAGACAACACTAAAATGCTTCTTATTGGAAAGCACCTTTAAATGACCTCTTTAGAGTCTAAAGGTTGTGCTAAACTGTAAAATAGATTGCCAGCATCACCTGGAAATGAGGAAGAGAGATGCTAGGAAGATAATAAACAAAACAAAACGAAAAACTGGAAAATTCTCATAGAAAAAGAAAGCAAACTTTTTCCTCTTCAAGAAGCATGTCATCAGTAAAAGGAGGCTGATTGAGAAAGACTGTAGCTCAGAAGCTACAGGAGGGGCGCTGATAACAAGAGATGATTCACCTGCCCCAAAGCAAAAAAAAAAAAAAAAAAAACCCGAGAATCTGGAGAAATGAGCCATTCTTAAGTGGAAAAAAACATTTCCCAAACTTTCCAGGATGATCGGAATGTTCCATACCTAAACTGGTATACTGGTTATACACGTTTGTCAAAACTCAGGGAACTATATTATATACACACAAACACACACACACACACGGTCTGTACAAATGTATGTAAATTACACTTCAATTAAAAAAGAACTCATAAACATGGCAAATGTATAAGTTTATTTGAATGTATTAGATACAAAACTAAAAATCTTATTTTATTTATTTGTTTTTGAGACAGGATCTGACTCTGCCACCCAGGCTGGAGTGCAGTGGTGTGATCACGGCTCACTGCAGCCTCAACCTCCAGGGCTGAAATGATCCTCCCATCTCAGCCTCCCAAGTAGCAGGGACTACAGGTGCACCACCATGCCTGGCTACATTTTTTTTTTTAAAGAGATGGGGTCTCGCTCTGTTGCCCAGGCTGGTTTGAAACTCTTAGGCTCAAGTGATCTGCTTGCCTCAGCCTCCCAAAGTGCCGAGATTACATGCGTGAGCCACAATGCCTGGCCTAATTAATTTTTAATGAATCTTTCTTTACATAGAGAACAGAAAAATATACAAGGGAGAGCTAAAAAAATCTAGGGAAAAAAATACAAGTAAAGCCAAGAGACAAACCACTAAACTTTGCATCACCATTGGAAAAGAAGTATCTTTCCAAAGGCTCTAACAGTGCTCATGAGGCAAGCAAAGAAAGGGAAGAAGCAGGCTTCAAGTCTGTGTAACTCCGACATATGTTACCTACTTTTAATAAACAAGTTTCTGTGTTACAACAGGCTATTAACACTATCTCCATTTTAAAGTTGATGAAATATACAGAACAGTTCAGTGACATCCCTAAGGATATACAATTAGGAAAGAGCTAGGATACAAATAGATCTCTAAAACTCCTACACATAATTCTTCTCACAAAACAATACTCTGTTGTGTGTGTGCAGAGGGTAAAAATAAAAACCACTGCAAGTTTCACATGGTAGTAACACGGCTTTCCCTCCTCGCCCACACAGGATGGATGAGTATAAATGTGCCGGGATGTGCTTTGACTGAGAGCATGAACTGAAACAATCGAGATTTTTTTTTCTTAAATATTCATTCACTCCTTGGTTGAAAATTCTGCAACAAGTAATACTTGTGCCTAAAAATACATATAAGCTAAATACTTAGGGCCAAAAGGGGTCTCTGGCTACAAACACTGAGTATTATTTTTTATTTCAGTATGCAATTTGTATTATGATTTGATTGAAGCCAGCTGTACTAGATTTCATAAGAGCAGAAAGAAGATAATATCGGACAAGAGCATACTACCTGTGCATTAATAAGTGGCATATGCTTTCTAGAAATGGTACGAAAATTGGGGAGAGGGGAGATTGAATTATCAAAGGAATTTCACAGAATTTCACTGATGCCCAATGTGACACCAGAGCTAATCCCTAGATTTATAAACACACAAGTAAAGGCTCTACATTAATAATGCCTGTTTCTCCATACACCCCCAAGTAACCCTAAGTGCCTACAGTAAGAGGGTAACTGTGACTTCTTTTTCATTTTTTTTTGAGATGGAGTTTTGCTCTTGTCACCCAGGCTGGAGTGCAATGGTGTGATCCTGGCTCACTGCAACCTCTGCCTCCCGGGCTCAAGCGATTCTCTTGCTTTAGCATCCTGAGTAGCTGGGATTACACGCGCACACCATCACGCCCAGCTAATTTTTGTATTTTTTGTAGAAATGGGGTTTCACCATGTTGGCTGGGCTGGTCTCGAACTACTGACCTCAGGTGATCAGCTCACCTCGGCCTCCCAAAGCATTGGGATTACAAGTGTGTGCCACCGCTCATATGGTGTGACCCTGAAACACAAATGTGTGCCATATTTGGTTTGTTGCCTACACCTAAATTTGCAAAAAAAAAAAAAAAAAAAGGAAATTGGCCAGGTGTGGTGGCTCATGCTTGTAATCCCAGCACTTTGGGAGGCTGAGGTGGGTGGATCACTTGAGGTCAGGAGTTTGAGACCAGCCCGAGCAACATGGTGAAACCCTGTCTTTACTAAAAATACAAAAATTGGCTGGGCATGGTGGCGTGTGCCTGTAATCCCAACTACTTGGGAGGCTGAGGCACAAGAATCGCTTGAACCCGGGAGGTGGAGGTTGCAGTGAGGCAGACTGCACCACTGTATTCCAGCCTGAGTGACAGAGTGAGACTCCATCTCAAAAACAAAAACAAAAAAAAAAAAAAAGGAAATGATTTAGTGTGAATTTAAGAATCACAACCTTTAACACAGCCCAAGTGCACCTTTTCCTTTCTAAATAGAGAAATGGGCCCAGCATAGTGGCTCATGCCTATAATCCGAGCGCTCCTGGAAGCCAAGGTGGGAGGATCACTTGAGGCTAGGAGTTTGAGACCAGCCTGGGCAACATAGTGAGACCTCATTTCTACAAAAATTTTTTTTTGAAAAACAGGTGGGTGTGGTGGCACGTGCCTGTAGCCCTAGCTACTCAGGAGGCTGAGGTGGGAGGATCACTTGAGCCCAGGAAATCGAGGCTGCAGTGAGCCACGAATGTGCCTGGAGTGCTGGGCAACAAAGACTTTGTCCCTTAAAAAAAAAAAAAAAAAAAAGAGAGAGAGAGAGAGAGAAATGCATTCTGTATCATTCAATAAAATAAGTGAAATGCAATCTAATAATTAGTCAATAGATATTTAAAAATATCACTTGCTTCAATTCAATTGTGACAATCTTTATAATTCTCTCTCAAATGAATTTTGCATCTTCTTCTGCAATGAGAAATGGAAGACAAGAAAGGGATAAAGGCAAAACCACTGCTAATATTTGACAACAATTAAATAAAGTAAAAGACAAAAGGGCAATGCTTAAGAGCACGGGCTTGGGACTTAGGCTCCAGGTCAAAGCTGGGATCTGTCACTTAGAGGTTAACACTACTGAGGGCAAAGCACTTGATCAAATCCTCAGTTTGCTGACCTACAAAGTGGCGATGATTATGTTTTCTGCCTGCCTGAAAACTTGTATAAAGAGCTTAGCAGAGTATGTGATATACAATAACTGTTTGATAATTATATATTATATACAATTTGCATATGTATGCAGTAATATAATTGCTTATTATATAATTCATATTCATAAAATTGTTAATTATATATGCATTTAAAGCATATGCCTATAATACAGGCATACCTTGTTTTCTTATGCTTTGGAGATACTGAAAGTTTGTGGCAACCCTACGTCAAGCAAGCTTTTGGGTGCCATTTTTCCAACAGTAGGTGTTTACTTTGTATTTCCACGTCAGCATCTTTAGCAGCACATATTTTAAATTGAGGTATGTCCACTATTTCTTTTAGATACAATGCTATTGCACGCCCAATATATCTTAGTACAGTATAAATGTAACTGTTACATGCACTGTGACTTGCTTTATTGCACTATTTGCCTTACTGCTGTGTTCTGGAGCTGAGATATCTTTGAGGCCTGCCTGTAATTATATTGAATACTACTGTGATAATAAAAATACAAGAAATGTGATTTTTTTCTTAATATATTTCTCATTATGAAAGTTTATTAAAACATTTCTATGTTTTTAGCCAAAATAATAAATTATTGAAATTTACATGTTGTTAGAAAAAAATAAATTAGGTTGCACATAATAATTAGAGAAAAATTACAAAGTACTGGAAAGCATAAAGAGAGAAAAAACCCACATACAATCCTACCACTTAAGAAAACTATTAATATTTGACATGTATCCTTCAAAGCTTTTTTTTTGTTTCCATACAGATTTGCCTTGGGATATAGACTCTCGGCTTTTCAAATTTATAGTATGTTATGAAAATTCTCAAAGTCATTAAACCATCTTATACATCGCAACTTGAAATGGCTGCCTAGGATTCAATCATATTGTTGCATTGTTATTTACTTAATCAATCAAATCTCACAGGGCATTCTGTTGTTTCCAATTGTTAGTATTACAAATGAGATTAAGTTTTTGTTTGCTTGTTTGTTAAGGGGATTACCTTACGTACAAAATAAAGAGAACACCAGCTAAAGAATTCTATTTTATTTTAAGGTGTCAACCAGGGCCTGCAAAGTGAGATTGTATAAAATCAATGTATTTAAACAAGTGATTCTCAGTTAGCTTCGCTATTCCTTTCCATCCTTGACCAACCAAGTATGCACAAGCATATGCACAATCATGTATGGAATTAACAGAGCTAAACTAGAAGGTCTTATCTACCTAACAGAATCGGCTTATATATATTAATCCTTTCATAAACACAACATGTAATGCACAAAGCAAAGTGGCTTTAACAAAAGTCGGACATTTTATTCAGGGTTTTTAAGAAAATGGTTTTGAAATATGCCATCTAATTAAAAAATTCCCCACTTCCACTATTGAATCAACAAAATTAGTAATGAGCAGGAACAAAATGAGAGACAGTTTGGTAGCTGTCAGTGTTTTCCAGTACAGTACAAATAGAAGAACCGTCCACACAAGGAAAACACTGTTCTCTTTAAATCTTGGAAATATGCAAATACAGTATAGCTTTAGAGGCTGAGAAAACTGGTTCTTTATTCCGCAGAGATTTTCCTGTCAGTGTAACAAGCTGAAAACAAAATATGAATGACACATGCACATGCTTAGCTGATGGAGAACACAGAGTCAAACAGGAGCCACATTAACCTCTCATAGAGGTTATATGACTTGCAGGCAGAGATATTGATTCAGATCTAGTTCACTGCTACCGAGTTTCACAAGTATTCAAATCCAAGTGTGGAAATTTTTCCCTAAGATGGTAACTCCTAGTACTTCCTTTAGCTTCCCTGGCTAATTAGGTAACTTACTTGACCATTCAGTTTAGTTCAAGAATTAAGAATGTTTAATAAATAGGCTGTCTGGTAGTAAGAGTATGTACGAATATGTCTCACTAAATACTGAAAGTTATTTGGATACTAAGAATTTAAAGAACAAGGCAATATGATCAGTGCAGTTATTCTAGGTTAGACTTTTGGGATTTTTTTTTTTCATTTTTAATATTACCATAACATCTCAATCATACTAGAAAAAAAAAAAAGCAATTCTAGGGTACATTTTATTCTTCCAGAGTAGACATCTGTGTTTGTTTGCATAGACAGACTTCAGAATATTTTATTATTCCTTTCCTATAATCTTGTTCAGCTGCCCCGGAGGTTATGCCTCCAGACAGCTTTGAACCCATTATCGTCAAATTCTGTAATCCAAAGGGCCAGGCACGGTGGCTCACGCCCGTAATCCCAGCACTTTGGGAGGCTGAGGCGGGCAGATCACTTGAGGCCAGGAATTCGAGACAAGCCTGGCCAACATGGTGAAACCCGATCTCTACTAAAAATACAAAAATTAGCCAGATGTGGTGCACACTTGTGATCCCAGCTACTCGGGAGGCTGAGGCACAAGAATTGCTTGAAACTGGGAGGCGGAGGTTGCAGTGAGCCAAGATCACACGACTGCACTCCAGCCTGGGGAACAGAGCGAGAATCTGTCTCAAAAAAAAATAATAAAAAATTCTGTAATCCTGTCTCATTGGTTCATGACAAGATGCAACTTGATGCCCCGGGGGATTCTTCTAGGGGATAACAGGGCTCAGTTGCTTGATTTCTCTCTCAAACATGGAGAATTTTAGCAGTTTGTGCCTTTTCCTTTATTCCAATCACTACATATTTTGTGTTTTAATTTTTCATTTTGTATGTCAATTTGTCAATTTCCATTTGCAATAGAAATAAAAGCAGAATATATCTAAGAGGGCTATTCCTTAAGGTTCTCTTTTGAATTATCTAACCTTGGAAATTGGGATGAAGATAAACAAAACTGGTATCCATCTGGGATGCAGTGGATTTTTCTCTGCAGGTATTTATTTCCCCTTGAAAATATAAAGCACATCTATCTCAATATTCAAGGTTTGACCAGAGAACAATTTGGCTTGAAAATATTTTGGTGTGGACGGGCACAGGGGCTCATGCCTGTAATCCCAGCACTTTGGGAGGCTGATGCAGGCAGATCACCGGAGATCAGGAGTTCGAGACCAGCCTGGATAACATGGTGAAACCCCGTCTCTACTAAAAATACAAAAATTAACCGAGCGTGGTGGCAGGCACCTGTAATCCCAGCTACTCAGGAGGCTGAGGCAAGAGAACTGCTTGAACCCGGGAGGTGGAGGTTGCAGTAAGCTGAGATCGCGCCACTGACCTCTAACCTGGGTGACAGAGTGAGACCCCATCTCTAAAATAAATAAATAATAAAAATATTTTGGTGCTCGTTAAGAAGAACAGATAAGATTTTTGTTAAATCAGCTTCTTCTTATGTTTGATAAAACCCTAGAGAACTTAGACTATACATGTCTGCCTTGGTCTTTGCAGGGAATTAGATTGAGACCATCAGAGTTTCTGTGGCTCCGTATCCTTGCCCACAAACTGTATTGTTCCAAATGTTAATTTTGCCAACCTGGTACATATAAAATGCTGTCACATGGTTTTAATTTCTAGCTCTCTAATTACAACTGAAGTTGACCATTTTTCATGTATATTAGCAAGTCATGTTTTCCTTTCTTTGAAATGCTTGTTCATACCTTTTATCAATTTATCTTTCTTAAATGTTTTAGATACTAATCGGCTGTCAGCAATGTGTGTGTTGCAGACCACTTTTCTCAGTTGTGGCTTGCATCTTTTCAACTTATTAATGGTATCCTTTGATAAAGAGAAAGTTCATTTTAATGTAGTTGAATTTATTAATCTTTCCTTTACAATCTGTGTTTCCTTGAGTTTGGGGTAAGAAACCCTTCTCTACTCTGAGGTTATATTCTTTTTTTTTTTTTTTTTTTTTTAGTTCTTTGAAAGTTCTACTGTTTTCCTTTCCTTTAAAACCTTTCTGTTGGTGATTTAAAAATACAAATATTCAATATACCTGGAACCGATTTTTTGTGTACTTCAGGATCTGGTTTCATTTTGTTTCTCCACATGTATGATCTTGTAACTGCATGATTTATTGATTAGTTCAGTCTCTCCCCACTGATCTGCAATACTCCTTCCATTGTAAGTCAAGTGTGCATATATGCATGAGATTATTTATGGGCTTTTTATCCTGTTCCATTGGTCTCTTTGTCTGTAACTACACTGGCACCCTAATACCAGGCTGTCTTCGTTATTATAGCTTTATAACAGACCTTAATGTCTCTAAGGCAAGACAGCCCATCTCTACTACTTTGGTTCTTCCTCAGGAGGGTTTTTGTTATTTCTGACCCTTCACTCTTCCAAATAACTGCAGAATTAGCTTGTCAATTTGAACTCTTTTCTTACTGGTTGTTTTTAATGTCTCCTCTTTTGTTTTTGGTGTCCACCATGATAGGTCTAACTATATATGTATTAGTGCTGCTTGGTATACAAAGTGTAAACTGTATCAGAGGATTCCAATGTTCTAGCGTTCTGAAACGTCTCAGTCTTAAATTGTTTCTCCACTAGTGGGAAATAATTCTCCATGGGACTCACAAACTTTTGCATATTTTGTGAGCAGAGGCCCTGACAGCATCAGTTCAGAAAAAACTATTCAAGGATATTTGGAAGATAGAGATAGTGTCTCTCTGGAGCAGACAGCAGATTTGTTTACTGTCTAGTAAGGTAATACTGTCTACTACGATAAATAATACTAAAGATAATGTCTCCCTCCAAGGTAAAGAGCACATTTGCTTACAGACCATTTTAAAAGGCTTGGGCTTCCGAAGCTCAGGTGTCTTTGGGCATGACCCAAACTCACTGCACGCCCAGTGTGCATCAGGGCCACATCATCCCCATGGGACTTGGGGAGCAGGGGGAATTGGCTTGAACATAAAGTTCACGCTACCTGTTGTGCGGTGAGAAATAAAGTCCTTTGTGTTTGACCCAGGAATGTTGTGTCTTCAAACAGCATCCATGAAACTGTGGGAAGCTAATTTATGAGCTTGGAAGGAAGGTAAAATCTCAAACCTTTCCCAATTCTTAACTTCTCTCATTTTCAGTATTTTAATATAGTGGATCTTCAATCAACATATGTTAAATCTTTTCAATTTGTCATCCCTATGTCTTACTCTCTCTTTACTGTTTTTCATCTCGTTACTCTGTGTTTTGTGTTATCTTTTTCATGAGTTTCCAGTTCATTTATTCTTGAACTCTCTTTTTTTTTTTTTTTTTTTGAGGAAGGCTCTCGTTCTGTCACTCAGGCTGAAGTGCAATGGCACCATCTAGGCTCACTGCAACTTCCACTTCCTGGGCTCAAAGTGATCCTCCCACCTCAGCCTCCTAGTAGCTGGAATTACAGGCACGTACCACTACGCCCAGCTAATTTTTGTATTTTTAGTAGAGATGGGGTTTCACCATGTTGGCTAGGCTGTCCTCGAACTCCTGGCCTCAAGTGATCCACCCACTGCAAACCTCCCAAAGTGCTGGGATTACAGGTGTGAGCCACTGTTCCTGGCCCACTTACTCTCTCTTCATTTATGTGTAATACCCTTTTAACCTATCTACTGAAATTTTAATTGCAATGATTATATTTTTCATTTCTTGTTATTCTATTATTTTTCAGATCTTTCTGGTTGTTTTTGATGGTTGCTGACTCTTTGCTCAACGTTTTTCTCTATATAGCTCACATGTATTTTTCTATATGCAGTATTCTGCACCCCAATGTTATAAGGCATGGGGGATGTAGATCTGTGTTTCTTGTTTCTGCTGAGTCTTGCAAATTTTGGCTTATGTTATTCCCTGTTTGGTAATTTTTCATTGCTTCCCTGAGAGTGTATGTGTGATATGTAGAGAGTGCGTGTGTGTGTGTGTGTGTGTGTGTGTGTGTGTGTGTGTGTGTAAGTATTTATGATGACTTCATATCAGTTGAATCTGTAGGAATCCTTAGGACACGATTTTGTTAATGCTTTGCTCCAGATTTATGCTTATCTCTACCAAATGCCACAGAGTTCCACCAATTTGGAAACAAATTATCTACATTTTTTAAATGTAGTTTCCATGACCTGGCAAGTAGCGTATACTTATACTGCATGCCCATCCAACATTAAGCTTATAGTCACAAATGGTTAGGAGAGGAGAGAAGATGACTATGATGACTACTATTTTTCCTTGATGTAGAGCAATGGCAAAAGCAGACACATTTTCCCATCTGCTTCCTTTCTTGGTAGGCTAATTTTTTCAGCTCTGACTTTCTCTGAGGGGGTAGCCCCTTTGAATGTGCTAGCTTTGTGAAAGAGTTTCGTCCTCCAACTGCAACCAAACCCCAGGCCTAGTCATCTTTTTCCATAGTGGTTAAGTTCTGAGTTCCTTACATGGGCATTGCTATTGAGACAGTCCTGGTCTCCTTTAGCACATTTCTTTGGTTTCAAATTATTATAAGGTCTTTCTGCCCCTTGAGGATTTTCCTCTACTCTTACAAGTTCAGCAATATAGTTATAAAATACATTTCTCTGACTCATTCTGCATCTAGTCTACCATGGTGAGAAGGTTTTCAGAATATCTGGTCCTCATGAACTATCATTTCTATATGTATATTTTGCCCATGCACCCAAGAATTGGGCATTTTTCCCTTTTTGCAAGTGCCTTTTAGAGATGGTTAAAATTAGTTGACCATACAAGTGGGCAGGAGAGACTGCAATTATAGCTTTTCTGTAAGTTACAAAATTGAGACCAAAATTCATTCTGTAACACCCACACAGCTGGTATAACACAATACATTGATCAGATTGGCACTCCTATTTTTACAAGACAAAGAATTTTCACAGATTATTTTACTTCATGTGCCCATGGTGTCTACAGACAGCACTTCTCTTTGAGAAATACTGGTAAATTTTTTGAATGGATTTCTGATTAATCAAAAAATCATAAATCCTTGTGAACTAACATGTGTTTCTTTGAGATACACACTACACACCTAAAAGAGAAGTTACCATATATTTTTGGTAAATAACTCAGCTTGTTCCTGACTGCCCATAGACTTCTCTTTTTCACTTTCCTAATAAAATTACACTGACACCTTTTGCCTGTCCTTATAAACATATTGTAGCCTACTTTAACCCTGATGGACTCTTGGGTGTCTTAATTGTGGCAAATTTAGTCACAGCATTAGAAGTATATTTTTGGTGACTTCAAACACATTTTTAAAAACTGTGAAATACAGGAAAAGAAGAATCAATAAATGAAAATGGTGCTGAAATTCTATTTTTGTTTAAACGAAAGGAACTTCCAAACTTCAACTGGTTAGATATTATCTGATCACTCATATGCTAATTCATACAGACTTATTTTAATTACAGAAAAAAATCGGGTTATTTTTCTCCTGCCATTTTAAAAGTAAAAGACAAAATAATCCAAGAAATCAAGCGTGTGATAACATTAACTATTCTGTGAAGTTAAAGATAAGATTAAATTTGACTATAGTCCATGACTGAGTGAGAAACTGGCTGTGGTAATCATAATTTCGGGGGCATCTCTCAGCAATCTTTAAAAAAAAAAAAAAACCCTCTAAGTTTGAAAGGATGAGAGCAAATTTGCTCAGCGTAGAAACAGAAAGGAGCTAGAAATAATGACGTAAAGAAAAGCCCATTCATGGTGTCTCAGATGGGTGCTTTCCCTTCACGTTGCCTGAACACCTTTAAATATCTTCCAACCAGATCTGTATGCGCCATGAGAGCCTGGCAGACATGGTTAGGATCGTTCTGAAAAATTTTTTCAAGGCAGTCCATTCAAAGGCATCCTGTTCTAAACAAAGGGCCCTACGTGCTCCTGTACACCAGGAGGAAGAAGCATGTGTGATGCTCTGTCTGGATCTGCCCCTTTTCATGCTTTCAGAGTGAAGAGAGGAGTCTTTATCCTGGAAAGATGAAGGGATTGCAAATAAAGATGGATTACTATTTAAGGTTGTAATTTGCTTACTTGGGAGTCTACTTTCTTCAATTGAAAGAGCTGTATCAAGCAAGACTCTTCGAAAATTTCCTCCTAATGCTCTTGATAATGGGTTAAAAATATTCTTCAATTAAGCTTGAAAACTGCTCTGTGGAACAAGCCCAGGGCCATTATCTCTGCCATTATACAGTGCAGGAGCCTCTGCAGGCTGGGAAGCTACGCCTACAGCCAGAAAGGTCACATGAATAGCCACTCGCCGCGCAGTACAACTACATGTGTCGTCAGTATGCAGAGGTCACCCTTGCACTCTCTTAGTTTCACATGTGATCACCAAAATACAGAAGGAGGACTCTGCTCTGCATACCCCACAGATCAGTGTGACGACAGTCTTTTCACTTTCACCTCAACTACAAAACTGTGGCTGAGCCAGAAGGGAAGCTTCCACTCCCATGCTGTAAATGAGATGAAATCCACCCTCTTTTCAGACTGCCCTTTGGTGACAGGTGGGTCCCAGAGCCAGGAGCAGGTAGTGCCTCTAAGAAAAGAGTGCTGGGTAGTAGTGGGGTCTTTCTTGGGCAGTGACGGGTACAGGGGCATTTTCAAAGAAGAGTAGTTCAATTACTCTACACTCCAGGAGTCACAGAAGGGACTAGGGTTAAATATGACTCCACGAACACTGTTTATGGTACCAACACTGACCTTTCCTTTATTGCAAATTTTATAGAACCTACTAAAATATACTGCACAGAAGCATCTAATGCATCTCCTTTAACACATGACTCTATTTTATAAGGAAGAAAGGCTTTATGTTAATTTTAGAAGTTTATGAGGTCTTGAGGGAAATTACAGATCACTCCACGGATATTCCATTTTCTGTACCCATACCAAAACGACCACTATCGTCCCAATGAGGAATTCAGGGAGAGCTGCTCACACGCACTGATGATGGCTCTAGCTCTGCGACAGTCAATCACTTTCTGTGTGACTCTTAGGTATGTGGAAAGATATTTCTGGAGGCTTAAAAGTCACTAGGACACCAAACCCAGAGAAGCAAGGAAGTGTTACATACTGCCTAAAATTTCATGTACTGCTTATTTCCCAAAATAATTGCTGCATCTAAGACAACATTGATGAATGCTTCTTGCTAATAAATGAGTGTTTCAAAACAGGCCGAGTACTAGGCTTTGAACCAGGAGACCTGGGTTAGAGTCTGCAGTCCCAGATGGGTGATCCTGCAGTGGTCACTTGACCTATGGGAACTACACTTTTTACCTACGCAAAGAGAGGTCATTAAACTAGATTATCTGAGACTTCTTTGAACTCTACTATAATTTAATTAATATTCTAGCTAAAGAGTTGTACAACTTTTCTTTCCTAACATCATCTTCTAATGAAGTCTTTAGCAGTTTAGAGACATAATACCGGAAATAAACTTCTCTTTACCATATATTCTTGATAAAACTCTAGCCTATGCTTGCTGAGGCATTCCATGATATACTATTATTAACACTGACAGCACCTAGTATTTATTGAATGCTTATTATGTGTCTGACTCAGTTCTTTTTTCTTTCTTTCTTCTTTTTTTCTGAGACAGATTCTCACTCTGTCGCCCAGGCTGGAATGCAGTGGCACGATCTCAGTTCACTGCAACCTCAGCCTCCCAGGTTTAAGCAATTCTCCTGCTTCAGTCTCCTGAGTAGCTGGGATTACAGGCGCATGCTGTCACGCTGGGCTAATTTTTGTATTTTCAGTAGAGATGGGGTTTCGTCATGTTGGCCAGGCTAGTCTCAAACTCCTCACCTCAGGTGATCCCACCTGCCTCAGCCTCCCAAAGTGCTGGGATTACAGGCATGAGCCACCACACCTGGTCACGTTCTAAGTGCTCTTATATGCATTATCTCATACACTCTTTCCTAACAACCCTCCAAGAAGAACACTATTATCATCTAATTTTACAGATGAGATAACTGGTGCTCAGAAAGTTAAACAACATAAACACTAAGTGGTGGGCTCAGGATTTGAACTAAAGGAAGTCTGACTCCAGAACCCACCACCCAAATACACTGTTAAATTGAATGACCACAGCAATGCATTAAATTCTCAACAAATAATACTCAAAGCAAACATAGTTATCTCAAAATCTGCATGAAGAACACAAACTTCCATTCTTCCACAAAAAGCATTCACATCTTGTCCAGATTTTTATGTAAG
Source organism: Homo sapiens (assembly GCF_000001405.40). Classification (NCBI taxonomy): domain Eukaryota; kingdom Metazoa; phylum Chordata; class Mammalia; order Primates; family Hominidae; genus Homo; species Homo sapiens. The sequence goes on from NC_000010.11 coordinate 16,665,586, forward strand.
AGAAATATTTTGACACATAAATATTAATGATATATAATAACTTTTCGTTTTGAACAAAGACTTCTGTCTAAAATTTATTCCTTAAAAAAACTGCATTTTTTTCCCCATGGAGATATCTTCTAAACCTATGTAAAAAGATCATATTAGGCAAAACGGAAAGAATAAAATATTTAAGACATGCTGACACTGAAGATATTCCACGGATCATCCTAAAATTTAGACAAATTTCTATTACAGTGCTATGATAAATGGACAAGGTAACATATTGGACAAAGGAACAAGGACTCAACAGTTCAACTAGGCTGCTATGCAGTTATGAATAATTTTAATAAATATGCAAAGCTGGTATTCTGCCACATAAAATAGCTAGTCAATTGTGAACCTGAAATATATTTTTAAAGTATACTGTGTCCTTGGGATTAAATAATTAATCATAACTTTCATGAATATCACTATTTTTGACCCTATGATATCTGCATTTTTGGCTTATGCTTTTTTAAGATTAATTTTGATCTCTTCACCATTTTATCTGTGACTATTTTACAGGTTATTAATATAACTCAATTTTTATTCTACAGCTATTCTAGGTCTGTATACTAGAATACATTGATGATCCCTTACTACAAGTACTTTTATACCTAGAGATAGCACTGCTGAACTTCAAGGATATGATTTGAAATAATAGATCATATCTACATCTTTGAAATATACACAGAAAGCCACAGAATGCGTGTAGAAACAAATACATCTAAAAGGTCAAAGAAAGGGTAAAGAAGCAAGTACCCTTCTCCTGCAGTAACTGAACAAGGACATCACAACTGCACTCTCAAATAACATGTTGATCTGAAGATACTTACTTTAGACTTTCCTAATGGCCAAAGCTTGAGATGCTGGTTCAGAGAGTTATCTGGGCCAGGCGTGGTGGCTCACACCTGTAATCCCAGCACTTTGGGAGGCCGAGGCAGGTGGATCACATAGTGTTTGCACTAAAGTATTTAAAAATAGTCCAAAACTATTATAACAAGTTTGTGTTTTGCAAGGATAGACCTAACTGCCCCTGGGAAATCTCTAGGTGGGCTCACAGCCACCTTAAACTCAGGGTGTTAAAAAATGAGCCATCAGCCGGGTGCGGTGGCACACACCTGTAATCTCAGCACTTTGGGAGGCTAAGGTGGGTGGATTACTTGAGGTCAGGAGTTCAAGACCAGCCTGGCCAGCATGGTGAAACCTCATCTTTATATAAAAATACAAAAATTATCCAGGCATGGTGACGCATGCCTGTAATCCCAGCTACTCAGGAGGCTAAAGCAGGAGAACTGCTTGAACCCCAGCATTGCGGGGCGAAGGTTGCAGTGAGTTGAGATTACGCTACTGCTGCACTCCAGCCTGGGCGACAGAGTGAGACTCCGCATCAAAAAAAACCAAACCAAAACAAAGCAAAACAAACAACAACAACAACAACAACAACAAAAAACAAAGAAAAAAACAAGTTATCTGTTAATTACCACTGAGTCATAAAGACTCTGGGTCTATCTCCAGCTCAAGAATAAAACTGACACCAAGGAGGGAACTTATACTTTAGCTGTCTGTTAGTTAATCTGAAATCATCTCTGGGAAGCAATATATTTTCTAAGATTCACTTTTCTAATAATGTTCATTATAGGTACCCAAAGGGGTAGGGAATAAAAGTTAAGAGCACTGAGCATTTGGATTCAGATTCTGTCTTGTTATCTTAAGCTAAATCTATTTATTACAATTAACCTCCTTTCAGTTACTGAGTACTAGCGAGTGACATGAACTAGTGACTACTCTGTATATATTATCTCAATTCTCCAAACAATGCAATTAGTACTAGGGTACAATTAAATAGTACCATAAAATATGCCATTAACTCTATTATTTATTAATTTTTTTTTTTTTGAGACAGAGTCTCCCTCTGTCACCCAGGCTGGAGTGCACTGGTGCTATCTTGGCTCACTGCAACCTTTGCTTCCTGGGTTCAAGTGATTCTCGTGCCTCAGCCTCCCAAGTAGCTGGGATTACAGGCGTGCACCACCACACCGGGCTAAGTTTTACATTTTTAGTAGAGACAGCGTTTTGCCATGTTGGCCAGGCTGGTCTCGAACTCCTGACCTCAGGTGATCTGCCCACCTTGGCTTCCCAAGGTGCTGCAATTACAGGCATGAGGCACTGTGCCTGGCCAAAATATGCTATTATCACCTCTACTTTACATATGAACTATATTCAATGAGCCTGCCAGATATCAGGTACTTAGGCTCTAAGCAAAATTTGGTGAATCAAAAAGATACGTAATCTGAGCCTAAAAGTTACATTCTAGTAGAAAAAAACGTATTAATCAAATAACCACACAAATAAATATAAATATATGAGAACAATAAATGCTAAAGGAGGAGCAAGGTATTCTGATAATAGAATAACTGGTAGACTAGGACTGAGCTTGGAGTTTGCAGTGAGAAATGCTTGGGTTTCAATTCTGGCTCTACTACATATTAAAACTGTAACCTTGAGCAAGTTACTTAATCCCCCTGTATTTCAGCTTCTCCTTTGAGAAAATGGGGATAAGCAGTATTCACCTCATAGAGTTATCATGATTAATAAGTATTCAATGAACATTAGATGAGGTTGTTTTCTGTTATTATCATTATTTGACCTTGATGAGATGTGGGGGCAGTGATCAGGGTAGACTCCCAAAGGAAAGTGATAAAAGACCTAAAATCTGCAGAACAGTGGAAATTAACTGTGCAATGAAGGACGATGAGTATTGTATAGAAGACACGTTTCAGGCAGAGGGACCAGTGGTTGAGAAGATCCTGTGAGCAAAATATATTACCTAGCTAGATCGTCTTGGGTTGGTCATTTAATCATTTTGGAACTCAATTTCATCATCTAAAAAGTAACAAGGAAAATGAGATCATTTCTATGGTTTCCTGAACTTTATAATTCTATAAAATTTGAACATCATAAAACATTTGAAATAGGATTTAATTGAACATGGTTTTTTTTCCCCCCAAGTTTTACTGCTTTCCCTGGTTCTCAGTGCAGTCACAAAGGTCCTCAGATATAAATTTCAAGAGCATTCCTATTTTGTCTCCTTTCTACTCCCCTTCCTCTGATCTCCCTCATTATTAACTTTCCTAGATCTGTAAATAAAAGGAGGCACACTGCAGTGACCTCATTTTCTGTCTTTGATGGTGGTTTACACTTTTCCCACTGTGATGTCAATTTGCCGTTTCAAGAGTATCAGCCACTGACATGATTCCAGGCAACTATGTCTCCTCAGAAAGCCTGTTGTGTACAAATATGGCTGGTTATATGTTTAAGGTTACCAAACTTCTCAGATAATCTTATATATAGTTATGGCCATAGACATGTTCATTCACCAAGAGGTGGTGCACTTTTCCTTTAATACTGTTGTGCTTTCTGTAGCGGTTCAAGCCTCACTACTTTGACCTGCAGTCTATTACAAAGAGTCTTTGTAAGTTTCTGTTAAGAGGAACATTTATACAAATGTTAGAATTCTGCTATCAGATCTTATTTTTCCCAAAACAAATGCTAGACCAGAGCTGTGCACAGTGTGACCTACAAACGTGCAACTCCTAATATGTTACAGAAGAAAAAAAATTCAGGGCATTAAAATAATGCGCTCACGATCATGTGACCACCCAGAATGTAGAACTGTCATTCAAACCCAGGCCTGCCTCACTCTAAAAGGCCCATGTGATTTCTGTTGTATTGTCTTCTTGAAATTAACATTTTCTGTTTTTTTTCCCCCCCCAAAGCACCATACTGCTTTTTAACCATTTTTCATTAATTCCCCTTTTGGAATTTCTACCAGCTGCTGATCTTTCACCGTGTTTGGCTACTTACCCACCCCAGGGAAAGCCAAGCCAATGTCTTCTTTCCACATCATCAAAGAGAAACCTCCCTCTTCCTAACAGTGACACTCATCTACAAAAGCTGCCATTTCTTCATCTTCTTTTTTTTGTTTGTTTTATGTGTGTGTGTTGTTCCCCTCCCTGTGTCTATGTATTCTCATTGTTCGGCTCCCACTTACAAATGAGAACATGTGGTGTTTGGTTTTCTGTTCCTGTGTTAGTTTGCTGAGGATAATGGCTTCCAGCTCCATCCGTGTCCCTGCAAAGGACATGATCTCATTCCTATATTATGGTTGCGTAGTATTCCATGGTGTATATGTACCATATTTTCTTTATCCAGTCTATCACTGATGGGCATTGGGGTTGATTCCATGTCTTTGCTATTGTAAATTCATCTTCTCTTCTTTATTCATACTTACATGCCCAAAGTCAGAGCAAGAAGGCAAAAGTACTGGTATTTAATAGCATATAGTATGTCTTTCTTACCTTATAGACTGATTAAGAGGAGTTCATAGAAACTGTAGTCTCTCACAAATGGTGTCTAGGTCCATCTTTTCTCCCAAATTATAAAACTAAGATCTAGATAAAGCAGTTTCTACTCAGGCCCATGTAGTGCAAATCAATTCAGTAAGTTGTTTTCTAAGCTGACCAGGTGAATTGTTTACTTCCCATTGCTTATGCTGGAGAATAACTAAGGAGGAAAAACGTAGAACATTTTAAATTACAGAAGAAAGCGCAGGGGCTAGCAAACTTGGCTTGGTGCCTAAAATGAAAAGAGATAGATTTCGACAGTGTTCACTGAGCTTGCTACATAATCGTACATGCTAAAGACCCCTTTTTATTCCATGGTAAGATCCAAGATATGGCCACTCAATCTGATAAACAAAACTCCTCAAAGCAGCTAGCAATGCATACCCACAGACATGAATTGATAAACTGAGAACCTACCTCTTCAAAGCAAAAGGCCCTGAAGCTAGAATATTCTGTTGCTGCAGTATTCTGGGCTGCACCATAATGAGGGGTTGCCAGGCTGGTGACTAATCAAAGCAGGGTTTCTGGGAGGACTTGGCCACAGGAAGGTAAGTTCTACCTCCAGCCTAAACTTGCTTCCTGAATTCCAAGCCCATAAGACATTCTCAATTAGATATCTCTCCACTTAAGGGTCTCCCAAAACCTCAAATTTAGTGCACATAAGACCAAACTCATCTTTCATGCTCCCTGCTTTGCCTCTTTTTCTTCTGGTGTTCCCTTGGTCAGTACTGGTCAGCACCATGGATAGCGCCACAGAACCTCTTTTTTTAAGCCTGAGTCTTGCTCTTGTCACCCAGGCTGGAGTCCAACGGCACAATCTTGACTCACTACAACCTCCACCTCCCAGGTTCAAGTGATTCTCCTGCTCCAGCCTCCCCAGTAGCTGGGATTACAGGGGCCCACCACCACGCCCGGCTAATTTTTTGTATTTTTAGTAGAGAAGGGGTTTCACCATGTTGGTAAGGCTGGTCTTGAACTCCTGACCTCAGGTGATCCACCTGCCTCGGCTTCCCAAAATACTGGGATTACAGGCATGAGCCACCACACCCAGCCAGAACCCTGTTAAAGCTCCTGAAATGACTGAAATGAAAGAACCTTGTGGTAGAACAATTTACACCTACTCCTATGTTCATCACAGCACTACTCACAATTGCAAAGACATGGAATCAACCTAGGTGCCCATCAATGGTGGGCTGGATTAAGAAAATGTGGTAGAAACAGGGTCACACTATGTTGTCCAGGCTAGTCTCGGAACTCCTGGGTTCAAGTGATCCTCCTGCCTTGTCCTCCCAAAGAGCTGGGATTACAGGTGTGATCTTTTGACAATCTTTGATAGCTCCCTTGCTTTCTGGATTGTTAAGATGTTTGAGGCTTTGTTCTACATTCTCCTGATAGGGACCTGCAATTAGTCATTTCCTCAAAGGCCCCAAAGGGGGTTGTTTTGTTTTTGTTTTGAGGCAGGGTCTTGTTCTGTTGTCCAGGCTGGAGTACAGTGGTATGATCTGAGTTCACTGTATCCTTAATCTCCTGGGCTCAAGCGATCCTCCCACCTCAGCTTCCCAAGTAACTGGGACTACATGCGCATACCACCACACCTGACTCAAAGGTGTTTTTTTTTGTTTGTTTGTTTTTGAGATGGAGTCTCACTCTGTTGCGAGGCTGGAGGGCAGTGGCGCGATTTTGGCTCACTGCTACCTCCACCTCCCAGGTTCAAGCAATTCTCCTGCCTCAGCCTCCCAAGCAGCTGGGGCTACAGGCACATACCACCATGCCCAGCTAATTTTTGTATTTTTTTAGTAGAGATGGGGTTTCACCATGTTGTCCAGGATGGTCTCAATCTCCTAACCTTGTGATCGACCCCCCTCGGCCTCCCAAAGTGCTGGGATTACAGGCATGAGCCACCATGCCCGGCTGGCTCAAAGGCTTTTAAGTGAGAAATTGTATATCAGATAATCCAGGATTATCTTATTTTACAGTTTTGCAGTTACTTAAAAAGGTAAATCTGGCCAGACGCGGTGGCTCATGCCTGTAATCCCAGCACTTTAGGAGGCTGAGGCAGGCGGATCATGAGGTCAGGAGACTGAGACCATCCTGGCTAACATGGTGAAACCCCGTCTCTACTAAAAATACAAAAAAAAAAAAAAAAAATTAGCCAGGCGTGGTGGCGGGTGCCTGTAGTCCCAGCTACTCAGGAGGCTGAGGCAGGAGAATGGCGTGAACCCGGGAGGCAGAGCTTGCAGTGAGCTGAGATCACGCCACTGCACTCCAGCCTGGGCGACAGGGCAAGACTCTGTCTCAAAAAAAAAGGTAAATCCATACCTGCCATATGACCCACGCATTCCACTCCTAGGTGTTTACCCAAGAGAAACAATAGCACATGTTCAACAAAAGACTTTTACACAAAAGCTCACAGCAGCTTTATTTCTAATAGCCCCTAACTGGAAATAAGCCTAACGTCCACCAGCAGGCAAAAGGATAAACAAACTGAGGTATATCCACACAATGGACTACAAATCAGCAATGAAAAGATATCAACTACTGATGCATGGAACAAGAATGAATGACTCTCAAAATACTTATGCTGAATGAAAGGAGCCAGTTGTTTTTTTTTAAATAGAGTACACATTATATGTCTATATTTATCGAACACTCTACAAAATGCAAACATACAGTCAGAAAGTAGGTCAGTGGTTGCCTGGGGATGGGGGAAATGAAGGGAGAGGCACAAATGAGAAATATGGTTTATACATGGGCATAAAAAAACCCTTGGGGATGAGGAATTTGTTCACTGTCTTAAGTTGATTGTTTTACAGATGTATATATTTATCAAATGCATCAAACTGTACACCCTAATTGTAGTCTGTTGTATGCCAATTGTTGTCAAATAAAGATGTTAAAAGAAAAACAAATCTATCTGGCCCAATGTCACAAAGCTAGCAAAAGGTAAGGGTAGGGCTTGAACCCAGGCAGCCTGTTTCCAGGGCCAGGCTTACACCCACTGGTCTACAGGTGGAAGAGAACCTAGCATGTCTCCTAGGGCAAGCTTATTCTCCAAGGCTACACCTGCTCCTCATTAAAAGGCACTTCATAGTTTTTGTACATTTCCTTAGAGGGTATTCAGAAGTCCTTTGACCCCATTGAAATGCTTCTTCAGGGTCCATAAGTCCCGCTGGGAGAAGCGTTCATCTCCGGTACCTGGTAGGACTCAGAGACCAGAAGCGCTGTGATACTGTGGTTCTGACAATTGCTGTGGAGTCCCTGTTTCTCTTTTGTATAGCATGCAGCCACACTTATTCTCAAAAGCAGGACATTTGCTCCAACATGAACAGAGCAGCTACAAATTTTTCTTTTTACTGGTGCCATACATAATTAAAATGAAACCATGTTATTTCCACATTTTAGGAGAAAGAAACAAAATACCAATTTTCTCCTCAACACTTAATTAACAATGGGAATTTGACTGGGAGAATTTTTCTTAGCAATATAGGAAATTAATTCCATCTGTGAGAAAATTTAAGCTCAAATGGAGAAGCCCTGTCTTGACAGGATTCTTCTGTGTGGAGAAAAGCCAAATGTTTCTTGAAGCACGTGATCATGCCTGACTGGCGCTGGATGTCCCTGTGTTCAACAGGTCAGGCTCCATCTCAAATGACGCAGGTGGAAGGATGAGCAACGGCACAGCCTCCTGCAGCACACAGATGCTTCTCAATGGGGCTGATCAGGAGACCTCTGGCACCCAAAGACTGCGTGATGACTGAGGGACTCTTTATGCTCGCTTCTGCCTAGGTCCTTAGGTTCAGAGATCAGGCTCTAAGTACTTTTTCTGACTTGCCAACGTAACCCGCACATATTTTAAGGGCTGGGAAGAAGAGCTGCCTCCCCTCCCCTCTCCTCTGCTGTTTATTTTCAAGCAATTACTATAGTTCAAAGCCTGCCAATTTACCTTTTATAGGCTCTTTCACACCATCGTGATGGAACACAAAAGCAACACCTGCATCCTGAGGCTCTCAGCAGCCAATATCTAGGTCCTACACACAGAGGTGTCTGTTAGGGGATGGGAGGCCTGGCTGACTCAAAAACAAAACAAAATATAAGGCAAGTGGGCTGAGTCCAGGTCAAACAAAGCGTCTGTTTTTGTTTTGTTCCCCTCCCCCTGGCCCCCGATATTGCCCTTTAAAATTCTGTGTGCAGGAGTTTCTTTCAAAGCCTAGCTAAAAAGAGCGACTAGATTTGATGGGAAATAGCTGGTTGGGAAAGGCTGCAGCCTTGGAAACATCAGAGCAACATTTATGGTGATGGAAGTGGCAGTAATAATATGAAATCTGAGCAACTCAGACACAAGGAAAAGGGAAACACTGAAAATGTGTCACGGATGTGTCACGGAAGGTTTTTTTTTTTTTTTTTTAAATCCTCTAACAGAAATGTTTACACTGCAGGTGACAAAGTATGCTTGAAACAACAACAGCTCTCATCGAATATTCAGAGAGTCCACTAGGTGCCAGGCAATGTCTGAAGCTCCTGAGGACAGAGCAGTGTACAAAACTACGTCTCCCGCTCTTGCAGGAGACTCCATTCTAAGCATAAGAGAGACGATAAAATTGGAGGCAGGAGTGGGTGGTGGGCGATGGGGTCCACTTTAGATACAGTGATAATGGAAAAAACTTTGCTGAGATGGCATTTGAACTGAAACTTGAATGAGATAAGACAGCAAGCCTAAGGTCATTTAGAAACTGAATATAAGTGTAAAGCCGGCCAGAAGCTGTAATCCCAGCACTGTGGGAGGCCGAGGTGGGCAGATCACTTGAGACTCAGGAGTTCGAGACCAGCCTGGCTAACACAGCGAAACTCCATCTCTACTAAAAATACAAAGATTAGCCAGGCGTGGTGGCACACGCCTGTAATCCCAGCTACTCGGGAGGCTGAGGCAGGAGCATCTTTTGAACCTGGGAGGCGGAGGTTGCAGTGAGCCAAGACTGTGCCACTACACTCCAGCCTGGGCGACAGAGTGAGACCCTGTATCAAAAATAAATAAATAAAAATAAAAATTAGCTAGGCATGGTGGTACATACTGTAACCCCAGCTGTTTGGGAGGCTGAGGCATGAGAATCGCTTGAATCCAGGAGGCGGAGGTTGCGGTGAGATTGCACCCCTGCACTCCAGCCTGGGTAACAGAGCGAGACTCTGTCTCAAAAAAAAAAAAAAAAAGAAAGAAAAAAAAGTGTAAAGCTGTTAGTGTTAAAAGACAAACATTAGTGCCCAAGAAAATCAGGAGGTAACAGACTTCAAAAGGTTTTGTAGTTATGTCTTCCCGATGTCACTGTTATTGTTCCATAATTAAATGGTATTCTACCTAGACATCAGGTGACCTAAGGCTTTCTACTACTGAGTGGCCCACACTTCTTTTTTTCTTTTTTAAAGTATAAAACCTAGAAGGAGGTCGCTGTTTCTTTTTCTTTTCAGGCAGGTATTGCTCTGTGGACAGTAACAAGGGGAACTTCCTGAGCTTACACACTTGGCAGCCAATTCCAGAACACTAGAGACCAGCGTCAGGAAGAGACAAGAAAAGGAAAATTTGGAAATATGGGATCACTATTCACATAAACACATGGTTTCATTTAGTACATATGGCTTGGCAAAGGGGGACTGGATTAATAAATTCTGGTAATATAGTAAGGACAAAATAAATGTAAAAAAGATAGAAGTAAATGGAGAACATCAACATGAACGCGTGCTCCTTTGAGTAGAAAGTAATTTTTCTGCTTTGTCACTCAAATAGCTGGCAGACCTGACATCACCCTGCCTCTGCTTCCATGCTCTAAAACTTTCCTGGGCCTCAGATTTGGATGCTAATATGATTTTCCACTTAGTGGATAAGAGCTCCCTGGAGAAGGGCTCATTCTTGGATGGGCAACAGAATTAGAGCCTGAGTCTAGAGCTAATAAAACAAAGACAAAGAAGGGATCACGCAGAAAGCTTGGTAAAGACTGTCCTGGCCAATCTGATTACAGTCAGTTGGTACATGATGAGCCAAGAAAAGCCAGGAGTCCATCCTCAAGTCCAAAAGAGACAAATACTAGTAAGTATTCTAGAGAAAGGTCATACCCTTTAATATGCATTAACAGACTGAAGCCCGACTACAAAATAACACAGGTTGATCCCTGTATTAGTCCATTTTCATACTGCTATGAAGAAATACCCACGACTGAGTAGTTTATAAATTAAACTTCTTATGAAGAAAAAGAGGCTTAATGGACTCACAGTTCTGCATGGCTGGGGAGGCTTCACAATCATGGCAGCAGATGAAGGATGAGCAAAGGCACATCTTACATGGTGGCAGGCAAGAGACTGTGTGCAGGGGAACTGCCCTTTATAAAACCATCAGATCTCATGAGACTTATTCACTATCACAAGAACAACATGAGAAAAACCCACCCCTATGATTCAATTATCTCCCACTGGGTCCCTCCCACAACATGTGGGGATTATGGAAGCTACAATTCAAGATGAGATTTGGGTGGGGACACAGCCAAACCATATCAATCCTTTATCCAGAATTCTTGGGACCAGAAGTATTTTGGATTTCAGATTTTTTGGATTGACATATTTGTACTCTATTTACCAGTGCATTATCTCTAGTCTGAAAATCCAAAATGT